>NC_000007.14:114324960-114627991 GCF_000001405.40 Homo sapiens
GATGTTTTGATACAGGCATGCAAAGAGAAATAATCATATCATGGAGAATGAGATATTCATCTCCTCAAGCATTTATCCTTTATGTTACAAGTAGATTTATGTTCTTACATTAAACTTTTAGGTATTCAATACTATTGTACAGGTAAATTTAATTCTTTAAAAAATGTATTATTGGTGCAAATAGTAGTCTATAAAGATTTCCAACTTAATATGATGTTATTTTACATAATGTAGGAGGATCAAAACACTGGACAATGGGGAAGTTAGTTGTCTCTGATTGTTTTTGCTTCTGAACCATATACCCAGACTATCCAGAATGTAAGTTTATACGATTAATAGTATTTGAAATTCCATATAGTCTTCCATTTTTTCCCCATGTTATTCTCTGGTATCCTTTCTTTCAGATAAGATTAAACATTTTTTCTCTAAAAAATGTACAAAATATAAGCAAAAATGGCATATTTTATCCTGGATCACATGGTAAATTTCAGAACATGGTGGGATATATGAAGTTAAAATACAAATAATCATGACTGATAATTTTTTTTAATCCTTGGATATTGGAAAATCTAATTTTCTCAGTATATATCTGTAAACATTAAATTTATCTGTTCTATCTTAAAGAGTTATAGGATTTTGTATATTCCATCATTTCAGAAAGATTTTAGTCAATTTGCTACCATTATAATAAACAATGGATCTAATCAAAGTTAGAGGAAATATATGGAGGAAAATAATAAAGCTAGAATAGGAATGGATCACAGAAATATTTTCTGTATAGACCCGTTCGGTTGCTGAGATGGGCTTCCATCTATCTTTGATGTACTTAGCAGCTAAATTAAAGGAGGCAACATATTCAGTTATCTTATGAATGCTATGTATAAAAAAAATTTAAGCAGCTGCTAGATGGAATCATAGTTTTTCCAGATGCTTAGACCTACAATAATTTTGTCTAGTTCTCATGAAGACACACTGTGTAATATAGTGTATAAGCAGTAACCCCATAATAGATACAACAAAGCTATTTCTTATGATAATAATCAGTGTGTGCCAAGTAGGTAACTCCAACGTGAAGTTCAGTAAAATCAATCGTAAGAGGTGCTAACACATTGCATTTGTCGTTAGAATTAGTTCATTCATGGTCTGATCAGATTGAGATGTAAAATGCAGACTATCTGGCCTGAGTAACAGATGCTCTGTATGTCATTTAGGCAATCCTCCATAAATATTATTTCTTTCAACTAGAATTTTGATAAGGATTAGATAGCAAAGAGTACAAAGTTTGTACTCTTCAGCAAGAACATAAGGTTCAGAAATCTTACCTGGCTTAGCTGGATTATCTAAGGAGAATATAAAGTTGAAGAGTCTATAAATTAAGGAGCCTAAACCAGAACCTTGTCTGAATAAATGGGCCCCAATTTCACCTACTCATGGGAATGGGTTTAGAAAAAGTGAATGGGAAGAGTGAAAATCGTTTGCAAAAACATTTCAGAATTCATTCCAAAGTACATGATTAGGAATGTAAAGCCCTAAGCTTCATCTATAGGATATGATCTGTGGCTCCTAATGGGATTCCTAGTACTTGTTTGAGGGCACAGGGACTCTGCTTTCATTGCAAGGGGTAAACCAAACATTTATTCTCTAATATCTTTTGGTAAATAATAAATCCAAAGTAAAGATTAGCATATTGGAATGCATTCTTCTGTACAGTATTTACCAGATATTGATAGACTATGCATTTTTCTCTGAGCATGGCCATGATAATAATTTCACTCAAGAAAATATTCAAAGTAGTTGTTTTTAATTACCTACTGTAGTCACAGGTAAAACTTGAGGAAATATTCAAATAAAGTTTACTTTTAAGAAATTTAGCTTCCTACTGAATAGGATACATATCTTTAATGAATAAAAATATTTTAGGGATAATATAGTCAGTAGTTTTTATTAACCTGTATTGGACATCCTTCAAATGACCTACATTTATTTTCTTTCTCAAGGGCTTTACATAGGATAGATTACTGTCTCCTGCACCTCACACCTGCTTTGTTAATAACCTTTCATCCTTTGGCTCAGAGCATAGAAATTCACTTCCTCTAGGAAGCCTTCTGAATTGCAGACCTGATTAAGTCCACCTGATATTTGATCTCATTGCATCTTGTACTTTCCCTTCCTATCAGTGATCACAGTTTGCTATTATATATTTGTATGATTACTAATTTTTGTCTTCATACCCTGAGGAACTGACTGTGTACTTTCTTCTCCTTCTGTTAGCCAGGTACTTAGCAGTAGGTGGAACACATTTATTCAGATCTTTGTTGAATGAATACTTGAATGAATGAATGAATGAATGAGTGAATGAACAAATGAAGTAGCATTAAAATTCTTATCTGGTCTATCAAACTGAAATTTAATTTATTAAATTTAGTCACCATTTAATAAATGTTTTGCCTCTTGAAGTTATTACACCAAAAAAGCACTATTAAATATTTCCTGATACTATGTAGGTCATACTGCATTTTTTAACAGTTATTTTACTTTGTGTTTTCTTTTTTTTTTTTCAAGATGGAGTCTTGCTCTGTTGCCCAGGCTGGAGTGCAGTGTTGTGATCTTGGCTCACCACAACCTCTGCCTCCCAGGTTCAAGCGATTCTCCTGCCTCAGCCTCCTGAATAGCTGGGACTAGAGGCATGCACCACCATGCCCAGCTAATTTTTGTATTTTTAGTAGAGACAGGGTTTGACTATTTTGGCCAGGCTGGTCTCAAACTCCTGACCTCGTGATCTGCCACCCTCAGCCTCCCAAAGTGCTGGGATTACAGGTGTGAGCCACTGCGCCTGGCCTCTTTTGTTTTGTTTTGTTTTGTCTTGTCTTTTTTTTTCTTTTCTTTTCATGATACCATACCATTTTTCACTATGTAAGTTTTATTTATTTATTTTTATTTACTTATTTTTTCTTTTCTTTTCTTTTCTATTTTAATTTTTGATAGAGCCTCACTCTGTCACCCAGCTTGGAGTCCAGTGGCACTATCATGGCTCACTGCAGCCTCAACTTTCTGGGATCCATCAATCCCCCCACCTCAGCCTCCCTAGTAGCTGAGCCTAAAGGTGCATACCACCATATTTGGCTAATTTTTTTTTTCTTGTAGAGATGGGGTTTTGCCATGTTTCCCAGGCTAGACTCAACTCTTGGGCTCAAATGAGCCTCCTATCCCGGCCTCCCAAAGTGCTGAGATTACAGGTGTGAGCCAGTGCTCTCAGCCCTTTCTTTTCTTTTCTTTTTTTTTTTTTTTTTTTTTGAGACAGAGTCTTGCTCTGTCGCCCAGGCTGGAGTCCAGTGGCGCGATCTCGGCTCACTGCAAGCTCCGCCTCCTGGATTCACGCCATTCTCCTGCCTCAGCCTCCCAAGTAGCTGGGACTACAGGTGCCCGCCACCACGCCCGGCAAATTTTTTGTATTTTTGGTAGAGACAGGGTTTCACCGTGTTAGCCAGGATGGTCTTTTTCTCCTGACCTCGTGATCCGCCTGCCTCGGCCTCCCAGAGTGCTGGGATTACAGGCGTGAGCCACCGCGCCCAGCCTCAGCCCTTTCTTTTCGTAATATTCTGACTTAGATGGACATGCAGTAACAATAATAATCCTTATAATGGATATTAAAATTTAAGACACTTCAACTAATTAGAATAAAGCTATGGACTCAGAAGTAAGCAAGCAAATAAAAATATATAAGGGTCTCTAATCATGTCTTATATTCTATTACCTTTATACTGAAATACATGCCCTATACTTGTTATTGCTCCTTGTTTACATGACTTCCTAGGCCACTGCCCATTAAAGTCCATATTTTTGATGGGGTATCAAAAGGAATAGCCTCATATAGAAGAAAATAGCATTTTTAGAATCCCTTGAAATAATGCACATACTAACCATGATATACTCTCTGGATTCATTCAGTGAATGTGAAATCACTCTTAGTACATTATGCTGATGACCATGAAATAGAAGGAAGAGACGAAGTTATCTTTTTTTGTGTACACCTTGAGATGGGGAAGGAACTATACAGCAATAAACTATTTTGAAATCACAGACTTCAATTTGATTTAAAAATCCTACTGAACAAAGACGTTTATTTTTGGTCTGCTTAAAAAATGGATCGAGTATTGATTGAATGCTGTTTGCCTTTAGTTATTTTGAAAAATAAATAATTTGTAGCACTTAATTCCCCATGATGATGAATAAATAAAAGCATTATTATGATTAGGCCAAAAAATTGTGTTATCTGGCCAGGCATGGTGGTTCACGCCTGTAATCCCAGCACTTTGGGAGGCTGAAGCAGGCGGATCACCTGAGGTCAGGAGTTCAAGACCAGCCTTGTCAACATGGTGAAACCTGGTCTCTACTAAAAATAGAAAAAATTAGCTGGGCATAGTGGCGGGTGCCTGTAATCCCAACTACCCAGGAGGCTGAGACAAGAGAATCTCTTGAACCCAGGAGGCGGAGGTTGCAGTGAGCCGAGATCGTGCCATTGAACTCCAGCCTGGGCGACAAGAGTGAAACTCCATCTCGGAAAAAAAAAAAAGAAAAAAAAAAGGAAATTGTGTTATCTGAAAAAACATATTTGATGAGCATAGGCTTTTACCTTAATATGAACATATAATAGTGATACCGTGCCATTTTTCACTATGTAAGTTTTATTTATTTATTTATTTATTTATTTATTTATTTATTTATTTATTTTATGAGATGCAGTCTTGCTCTGTTGCCCAGGCTGGAGGGCAGTGGCGCGAAACCAGCTCACTGCAACCTCCGCCTCCAGTGCTCAAGCAGTTCTCCTGCCTCAGCCTCCCAAGTCGCTGGGATTACAGGCACGTGCCACCATACCTGGCTAATTTTTGTATTTTTAGTAGAGAAGGGGTTTCACCATATTGGCCAGGCTGGTCTCAAACTCCTGACCTCGAGATCCACCCACCTCAGCCTCCCAAAGTGCTGGGATTACAGGTGTAAGCCACTGCCACAGCCAATTACTTCAGTTTTTCTTTTAGTTGTTATAGTTACATATGATAACTGTTTATCATTTTCAGTTTACCTAATTTAGATTTATATAATTTTTCATCACAATGAGTAATTCTTGTTGCCCTTGATTCAAGTCTGTGGATTTTTTTTCCTCTAATGAGGTTTTAATCGACATTATCCCTATGTCATGCTGTTTATGCTTTCATTTACTTATTTTAAAATATTATTAGAGTTAAGGTTTAATATAGAATGGCTATTTATGCATCTACTTCTTTGCCTAGCAACTTGCATTCTATCATTAAAAAGTTTAATTTCTGACTTATGAGGCATATATGAAATATGGCAAAGATAAAGTTCATAACTGAAGGAGAAATATTACGTGAGGCTGGGTACGGTGGCTCACGCCTATAATCCTAGCACTCTGGGTGGCTGAAGCAGGAGGATCCCTTGAGCTCAGGAGTTCGAGAACAGCCTGGGCAACATAGGGAGATCTTGTCTCTAAAAAAAAAAAAGTTTATATATATATATATGTGTATATATATATATGTACACACACACAATTTTTATATATACATAATATATATAATGTGAATATGCATCTATTTGTATGAGTATTGTTGCATGATGTCTTGCCAGAATAGTAGAAGGAAATGTTTTGCAACTCTGGAGAAACTTATATGAATCATAAACATAAAGTAACTTGTAAGAAGAGGACAAACTATCAGAAGTCCCCTAATTACCTTTGAAGAAAGTCATTTATATTATTTAGTCTCAATAAAGATATATGTTTTTATATAAGGAAAAAACAGTAAATCCGACAATAATATCTGTTTATAGTTTCGATGCCACACCCCACAAAAATAATAAGCTGAGATAGCTGAAGAGGCAAAGGTGCAGCACTGTTTATAACAACAACTGGGAATCCCTTCCTTCAAACCCAGACTCCTCCTGTAGCTATGAAATATGAATTACCTAAATCTAACAAAAAATTTACAAATATCTATTCTAATTTGTAGTTGAAGGAGACCTGTCTTTGCATCCTTTATTCTTATGAAGTCTTTGTGTTTGGCACTAAGTGAAGTCCATGATGAAGTTTCTTTATTATATCTTTATTAAATTCTCATCCATTGTTATTTAAATAATTGGAGTACAAATCTGAGCAAAACAACCTTATAAAATACTTTTTGATAAATAAGACAAATAAA
This sequence comes from Homo sapiens, assembly GCF_000001405.40. NCBI lineage: Eukaryota > Metazoa > Chordata > Mammalia > Primates > Hominidae > Homo > Homo sapiens. The sequence continues at coordinate 114,331,173 of NC_000007.14, forward strand.
TCTAAAGAATAAAACTATTTGTAAACTGTAAACATGTTCATTTGAATTACAATTTAGTTTTATAATTAATACAAAATATACTACCTGAGCCTGTAATAAAGTCCTGTTATAAAGAATTTTAAAATTCCTTTATTGGACAAAAGTCTCAGGTTAATGTGATAGCAATAATGGTTAAAATAGGAAAAGATATCATAGTGATCAAATGTAAAGGAATTCTTTTTAATATCAATATATAACCTTAGAAGACATTAAGATTATGTTAGCAATAATAGCTAAGATTAAGCACTAAGATGAAGCTTAATGTATAAAATTTAATATTCTTGGCTAGTGTGCCAAGAAATATGTGAACTGGTCATTGGATTGGCTGTGGAGGAAAACGTGTCAGCTTCTTCTCAGGCTAGGAAGTCTTTGTTAATTTTCTCCGAGGAATAACATTACTTTCATATCTTAACTAGAATAAGTGCATGAAGTCCTTTTCTGACATTTTCTTTTTTTTTTTTTCTTTTGTTTTTAGAGACAGAGTCTCACTCTGTCGCCCAGGCTGGTGTGCAGTGGCCCGATCTTGGCTTACTGCAGCTTCTGCCTCCCGGGTTCAAGTGATTTTCTTGCATTACAGGCATGCGCCATCATACCTGGCTAATTTTTGTATTTTTACTATAGATGGGGTTTTCGCCATGTTTGCCAGGATGGTTTCAAACTCCTGATCTCAAGTGATCCACCCACTTCAGCCTCCCAAAATGCTAGGATTACAGGTGTGAGCCACTGCACCTGGGCTTCTGACATTTTCAGTAGTTGCATATCAGATGTGCAACAAATGACAACTCTGTATTGATTAACGAAAAAGCATACCCACTTACTAAATTACTAACATACTATGATTAGTCCAAGTGAACCCCATCAATTTGTTTGCTGTCTGTACCTCTGTGTGTGGGCATATGAACGTGTGTGTGTGTGTGTGCGTGTGTGTGTGCATGAGTAGGGGGTAATGTTTCTAGACTATTGCCAATGATGGCAGTAAAAGTTGTTTAATGAACTAAATATGGACACGTGCAGCTTTTATTGTTATTTAAATAATTTGGTTGACAAAGTTATTTATTTTTACTTTCTGGAAGAGTAAAATGTCTCCCCTGAGCTAAGCATAATTCAGTTGTTTTCTTCCTTCATGAAATGGGTTTATAATTGTGTAACAAACCGTGGTGATTTGGACAATCAGTAATGCATTGTTGCTGCATGAGGAGGGTTCTCTCTCTTATTTTTAGGTGGAGGGATTGCTCTTACTGTTTAAAGACAAAACTATATAATATATACATTATATCTTGATTTTTAATTTTTCAGCTATCGGAATGTCTGAGCATATTGAAGGGTGACTAGAATTTACTGCTTCACAAATAAGCATTTTTCACATACTGTATTTTATTTGTCTTTTTCTGAGCATCTCTTTTTTATTTTCCCTCTCCTGACTGCAAATACTGCTACTGTAGAAGAAGGAAAAGTTAAGACTGAAATATAGTGTTAAAAATAAGGGTGGTTTGGGGTGAGAAATTTGTTGCCCCCATTCATTGTTCTGTCGATGCTGTCTTCTAGAGTTCTGGGATTTGTTAAACATCAATCAGGAATAAGTTTAAAAGAGTTGGTGATGCTGGCTCTGCTTCTACCACGGAAAATGTAGAAATGTCAATGATAAATCTTATCCTAGGAGGAAAAACATGCTACATTATTGAAAACTTCAAAAGTTTTCTGTCCCTTACTTCTCTGAAAGAACTATTAAAAGATCAGGATCAGTGCAGGTTGGAAGAACTGAAGAACGTATGGAAGATATATTTCATGAAGAAAAAAATGTTAGGATACTGCAGGTTCCTTTCTACCACAAAACGAAACAGTCTGCAAGCCAGTATTTGGTGGGGAGAAAATAGATAATTCTCGGAGGAATAATAATATTTCTAAATTACAAAAAATAAACTGCCAGTGACTCCATGCCTCATATTATTTGGGGAAAGAATAATAGTAATAATGACAAATATTTTAGGGTAATTCCAAAGCCCTCCCTTTCCCTGGAAGAGAAAAGATTATTCATTTGAAGAATTGTTAACCAGCTGGTAACTTCCATTTCGTTTAGTTTGGAGAAGGAGGAATTTTTAGAACGAAAAAGCTTAATAAACCACATCTACTTTTACTTCTTTGCTACTGCTAGGTTTCCCTCACTTAATTTTTTTCAGTGACTGTAATTAAGTTCTCCTCAGGCTTCTGTGATTAGAGGTTATTTTCACCATTCAAAAAATAAGCAGCCACATTTATGAGGCCAAGTGTGGGTGGCTCACGCCTGTAATCCCAGCACATCGGAAGGCCGAGGCGGGCCGATCATTTGAGACCAGGAGTTCGAGATCAGCCTGGCTAAAATGGTGAAACCCCATCTCTACTAAAAATACAAAAATTAGTCAGTCATGGTGGCACATGCCTAGAGTGCAGCACGTTGGAAGGCTAAGGTGGGCAGATCATTTGAGGCCAGGAGTTTGAGACCAGCTTGGCCAACATGGTGAAACCCCCGTCTCTAGTAAACATACAAAAATTAGCTGGGTGTGGTGGCACATGCCTGTAGTCCCAGCCATTCAGGAGGCTGAGGCAGGAGAATTGCTTGAACCCAGTAGGCATAGGGTGCATTGAGCCAAGATCACACCACTGCCCTCCAGCTTGGGTGACCGAGTGAGACTCCATCTCAATTAAAAAAAAAAAAAAGCTACATTTATACTTGGTGCGGAAAAAAGTTCTCTGTAGCTTCTTCTCCTTACTTTCATTAAATCAATTTTGCATGAAATTTGGAGTGTTGTACTACAGGATATCACAAAGGAAATGCAAACTTATTTGATTTAGGATAGTTTTTTAAGAAATACTTTTTTAAGAGTCAATATTTTTAAGTCTTGCATTGTAGTTTAAGATGCTTCTTTAGTTTTCTCACTTTCTGGTAAAATTTTAAATTGAAATACCTTGGATTATACATTCAATAGAAAAGAAATGTGCGGTAGATCAACTGTGTATCATTGAAAGTAATAAATGATCATCCATTCATTGCATGCTGTATTCCTGGGTTAAAACTGTGTCCATTAGTGCTTGAGTCTGAAAGATACACACCTGTCCTTAAAGTGTAATTTCATATTTGTTTGGAATAAGTCTAGGAGGTAAGGAAGTAGCTCCCAAATTCAAACTTCTGAGCTAAAAAAAAAAAAAATCTGTTAATTTAATGACCCTAGAGAGAATGATAAATAGAGCAGGGATCATTTATAGTGTAAGTTTTCATATTTAAGCATTATTATTATGGATTTTTAAATTTAACATAGTTTCCAAAGATGATGTTGAAATTTAAAGAAATAAAGTAACTCCTGACAAATCTAGTATTTAGTTTGTGGTACATAGTTCTCAAGTTAGTGGAAAAAAATCCATGTCCCTTTACTGGAGATTAAAAAAAAAGAAGAAGGAAAAAAAACCCATAGAGAAACTGGGTTCAAATTTTAGATAAATGTTTTATCGGGTTGGAGTTGATATTTACATTCCAAATGAGTTTTTCTTCCAAACAAACTGATTTTTGTCAATTAAGATAATGTATTTACTTCATTTATGAAGTGATACCTTTAATTTTTAAAGATCGAAAATGATCATAAATGAGAATCAGGTTTTGTGAGCTAGAATGTACAACTTGTAGATTTTTAAATAAAGGATATCTCTGTGTGTGTGTGTGTATATATATATTTTATATATATAGAAATCTATATATATATATATATATATATATATAGAAATCCAAGTATGACTTCATACTTGTTTATCTTTCAAGATTTTAAAGGTGTTCCTAATATTTTACACAAAAGCATGAGCACTAGATATGGTTGCAAAATACTGGGTGATGAGTTATACTGCCATTCTCTGCTTTCCTGTGAACTCCTTTATTTGTATAGTAGCTATATGCTCAGACGTTGAAAATATAAGAAGTGAAGTACCCTGAAAAGTATCACATGATGGCACTGTTTCCATTTCCACATCCAATATTATGAAATAAAGCTATAATAAACTGGTATTAAGAATGGGGTATAATGCCAGTGTATTTTGTATAATTTATGTAAAATAAAAATCTAACCACTATGGTTATTAATATGGGTACTAAAGTGAATTCATAGATTTTTCACAAAATGTTTTGTAAAAGCTTGCATTTCTATAATGTCTATAATTTAGATCACAAAGAAACAATTTATCTAGATATTAACAATTTTAGTAACACGGAAAACAGCTTCATTAATTACTTGAGTTGCTTTACAAACTATTTTTTAAAATAGTATATTTTATGTTATATTTCAGTTTTAATTGGGAAGAAATAACGCTGTATCATACATGAGATTTATCTGTGGCAAATATGACCATTTGCATGGAATTATTTCCGAAGAATGCAAAGAAAGTGTATAAATAATATTGAAAAGTACATGGATCAGTGGTTGAAGGGATCAAGCACAATTTTAAAGTGAACAAAATTTAAATGTGGCCAACCTGAATATTTAAAGGGTTCATTAATCTGAGAAATGTAAATGTTAAATGGTGTGTGATTTCAACTACCATTATTTATTATGGTAAACAGTCTTTCCTATATAATAGGCATGAAAAAATGGTGTGGAGTGATTATCATCTCAGGAATGAGAGTACAATAATTTTCTATTCCTAACAAAAAAGAAAAAAAAATGATCAAAATGTGATGTGATATATAGTGAAGTACTATGTAGATGTGGATGTTTAAAGATGAACCAAGCATCAGGATTTCACCAAATTTTATCTATAATAATGAATTAATAATAGTGGATATAGATACATCTTCCCAGTGGCATGAGTGTGGTAAAAAAGATACAAAGCTCTATGGACTTGAAATGATGCCCCTCTAGTGATGTTAAAGAACCTAATGGCCAGAATTTGGAAGTGCAGCAAGTGAGTGCTGTAAGAATATTTTTAAATGTGATCAGTTTATATTTGTTTTAATATGACAGAAAAAATACTTTGCACAATTTTCCTTTTAATTCATCTGTGAACTTGTCTCGGGGGGAAAACATACATGTGAAGTGTTCTTACTGTATTCTTTTAAAAATAAATATGAAAAATAATCATGCAGGTAAACCAATTCCAAATATTTATCTTAACGACATCCCCAAAATCTTAAAGGTATATACTAGGCATAAACCTTAAACCTTTAATCACAGTGGAGATAAATTCCTCCTACAAAAAGAAATGTGTAAAGTAGAACTAACTATTCTGATATATTATTCTATGTAATCATTTCTCAAGTCTGTCTTTAAACAAATAGTTACATCTTATTATAAAGACAATAAATAAATACATTTTCCTAGAAATCCATCTTGAAATAAGGATTTCTTGCACCCTAGTTTCAAGAATACACTGGTGTCCTATCACCTCCTTTGGGAAAGTGACAGTTTGCATAATACTTTTCACATAAGAGAAAAATTTAAATAATGATATTGAGGAAATTGTTGAAACATTGCCTAATGGTATAGTAACAAAAAGTATTCATAAATCTGTACTGTAGAAGAGAAAATATACACTACAATAATCTGTTCATTTGTCTTAGAAGAGGGGAGAAAAAAACCCAGAATACTGAAATAGGAAATTTCCATGTTCACTGTATTTCACCATGCAAATCACTTGCAATTTCCAAATGCCAGTGTTACTTTTCAGGACAAATTTCACACAAAAGGAATTCAGTGATTATTCATCCAGTTTAATAATTCAATTAAATAAGTCTGATGCTGTCAGGTGTTCTTTTAATAATTGAATCAACATGCAGATACATAATAAGCATAAAAGCGTTTCTATGGCTGCAGTTAATTTAGATCCAAAAGAATCTGCTGCTCCTCTACATTTGATATAGATTATTCTATAATATTTCAGTAATGGGTTGCACAAAGGCTGGCTTTTAATTCTTTGCTTTCTCGAATGTCTTTATATATAATGGTTTAAAACAGAAGGTGTTCAAGAGAGGGTGACCTTTTTTCCATTACCATGGTTCCTGTCATTAATGCATTATAATTTTCTTTAGAAGTCTGGAAAAATGTGTATGTGTGCAGTACGTAGCAGGTATGAATCAAAGTGTGTCAGTGAAAGTTTAGAATTGTCTGTTATTACTTTTTAAAAGAAAAGATTCATGGGACACGTTTTATTGTTCTCAATATATATTTATTTTTCTTACTATGAGCGATTCAACTATTTTTACATATTCTAATAAGACTTAAAATTTTGGATTTTTATGCTGTAATAGTCATCTTACTAATATTCTAAAAATAATATGTATTATAACTAAATTTAAAACAAAGAGGAGAGTGGTTCTTATTTTTATTTTTGCATAAATATAACCTCACATACAGTATTAAGTTATAAAAGGATATTAATCATATATAAAGAATAAAGACTGGGGTAAATGGTTTACTTGGAGTTCTCAGCAGTTCCTGATGTCATAATTATTGTAAATATTAATTGCTGTGCTAAAAATGTAAGCAAGCCGATTTTGTATTAGATGAAAAATGAAAATAGACTGTGTACTGGTAAATAGATAATCATACAAAAGTAATTGGGGTTTTAAAACCCCAATCTATTCTGCCAGCATGAGCTCGTTTGCATGTTAATCACAAGAGTGATTTCCTACTTCACAAGGAAGTCCACACTCTTTCATAACCACTTTTAATTGCATTTAAAATGATACAGGTTTGTAACATTAGAAATGAAGGCATATCTGTGTCAAATTAATAAAAATGTCCCTGAAAATCTTTATAGACTATAAATACTCAAATATTTTAAGGACTTCTATTTTTAATTGGAATATGTAGAGGCCTATTATATATTTTGAGTGTTATTAATGATAGCATAGCTTTGGTACAATGTGCCAATTTTAAAAGGTAGATCACTTAAAATATAGTTTTATTATATTTTCAATTATGTGGAATTTTCTTTAATTTTAATATGCAAGTACTTACACTGAAACTTAATTTTAAATTTTTACAATAAAATATGAGCTTACAATAAAAGAATGTAACATTGAAATTTTGTAGATTACTTAGTTTTTATAAATTCTTAAGGCAAATGACTTCATCATTCAATCCTCCCTGGATGCACACACTCTCAGTATAAAATTTTTATGAGCAATAATAAGCTTTTCAATAACAAAATTTAATGTTGAAAGTTATTAACTATTTTCAACTATATTATTTTAGTATTAACTAAAAGCATTTTATTACTAATAGTAAATATTAAAATTATCATTTAAAAACTATGAAATAAGAAAATGTGCTAAATCAAAAAATATTTTTGACTTAAAAATCATCAATGTCATGTTTCCAGTACCAATGTAAATGATATTTTATGGTTCATATCCTGAAAATTTCTTTTACTCTGTCATACATAATAAGTAAATGTCAGATTAAGACAAAATTATTTATTTGCAGAGCATAAGAAAGGATTGCATTTTTTGGTAAATTCACTAAGAGTGTAGTCTGATCAAATCACAAAAATACAAAAACTGAGTTCTTGTCAAGATGTTCACACACACACACACACACACACACACACACACATCTACATACATATTTGATGAAAAGTTTGATAATTAAAGAAAAAGTCACAATTTAAAAGGGTATATTTGCCATAATCACCAGGTGTTATTTCTAATATAAATGACAAAGATGATGTTTCTATAATATAGCTTTCCATGCTCTGGAGATTAAAACTACCAAAACAGATCTATGAAATTTTTCATGGGGAGGGTCCACAAGGGATGATAAGCCAATATTTCTTGTCCCATATTCCAGATGTTTTATGTAGTTCTGCATCTTTCTAAACTAAATTGTAGCTTTTCCAGAAAAAAGTGTACTATTGAGACTGAGATGAAAGGCAAGAGCTGTTGAAATGTTAATTTTACTATCTACTGTTGAGGTCTGCAACCTTTTCTGTATTTTTTCTTACTCCCAGTGGCTCAGTTCTGTTTTATGAATGTTGTGGTATTTCAGTTGTTTGAAGTTTATAAACTAAGAGCATGATTTTGTCTTAATAAAACTGAGTGCAACATGGTATATGATAATGTGATAAACTTAGTGATTCCCTCTTTAGACTTTGATGTAGTAAGAATGATTTAAATGTTATTAAATGTGATTTAAATGATCATCAGCAATATAGTAATGAATATAATTAGTGTTGTTTTGCTTTTGCTTTTTGTGAACTTTTTTTTAGAAGTTCGACAGATGATAACATAAGGAAGTAAATGATTGGTAGAAATTACCCTTTTTCTTTCGTATGTTTAGTTTTACTGTTTGGATTTTTTGCTACATCATGGGTCCAACAGAACATTTCCTGAAGCTTTACTTTATTTCAGGAGCAGCTGGGTGTGGTGTTAGTAACACCCTTATGAGATAATCAACCTGAGAGAGGTGTCTTGATTCTCCAGTATCAAATCCTTGCGTTGGTATAGGACATGTTATAACTTTTTAATTCTTATATTCCTTTTTGTGAGTTCATAACTATTTTTGTGACTGTATTTACAAATCCCTGTGTTAAAAGCATCCAATTTCCCCTTTTTTTGGAATCTGTTGCTCTTTTAAAGTCAGAGTAAGATACAGTTTTTTTATGATTACCTAGAATTAAAGCTCATTTATACAAAGGTCTTTTACAAGATAGGGATTCTTATACTTTTTAATATTTTATGTAGTAGGTGAATATAATTGAGTTTATGTTTCTGCAGTAGTTTGCTTTGCCTTGCTTTTGCTCAGCAAGTTGTTTGGCACAATAAAAATATTTAAAAAAGGAGTCATTTTCAGTTGGCCATTTGACTTTAAATAGCAACTGGTAGTGTCCAATCTCTATAATCAATTCAGTCAAAAAAAACCTCCAAAACCATTTAAACCCAATAATTTAATTAAGGAAATGCTAGGAAAACCTGTATTTTATTTGGGTTAGAGCTTAATAAGAAACCATGTGATAGTGATTTCTTCTGATCCCACAATGCTGTTTTATATAATTGCTTGGTTTCACTTGAAATTGTGAAGATGATGATGTCAGTAAATTAGAGACTGAGTAGCTTTTATTATGAGGGCATCTATGTGTTGCCATATCACCTGGAAAAAGTATGACTTATAATTAAATGCATGTATAGACACACTAAGGGACATAAAGAATATATTAGCCCTTGTGTTGTGGTCACAGAAAAAATGTGCCAAAATAGATGGTAAATATATTTTCTTTGATTACTTTCCATATCATTCAATTAAATATTTGCCATATATTTTGTTAATTTTGGTCTTAAAATTCAGGTACATAACTATTTTAATTCAAACTTGCTATTAAAGGTTGACATTTTCAACCTTTTTTGCAAAATAATTTTGCAAAGTGCCTCACCTAACTTTGTACAATATAAGACTTGGAGGTCCTCTAACCACTGTGGTGTGATTTTGTAGTCAGTAGCATTTGTCGATAATACTTTTTGAAGTTTACAGTTATAAAAGTTGGATATTTGTCACATTTATTTTGCAATTAAAATATTACTCCCTGTGATTGCACCCCCACTGTGTTGCAACACCACCCTAAGAATTAAACTTCTAGAGTGTTAACTTATTCTTGTAAAAATCAGTGTAACCTTATGAGCTTCAAGGATCCCTTAAACATTCTGTGTTTGGATGGATTATCTTAATGGATGATATTTGAATACATATTTTCATTTTAATTAAGCCCCCCTACTTAAAATCTAAAATATCCTTAGAGGTAAGCTAAGTGCTTAATGTACTGTAGTTAAGCTTTTTATTTTAAAAAAATATTCTGATGACTGAGAAAATAAATGAAATCTGCACTTCGTTTTAACTTATTTATCTGGAAAGCATAAATTATTACTTAGCACTGAATAATCGCATACCACATACTCTGAACTATATCATTTTAAAATTGATGTATCCTTTATTTTCTTCTTCTTAAAATCAAGTAATGTCAGGATCCTCAGAACTATCATATATTTAGCAGCAGCCAAGATATTAATAAGCAAGGATGAGGCTGACCGTTAGAATGGTATAAAATATGCCTAAATGCAATGTTTTCTAACTCAGTAAGACATCGTCTTTATTTTTCAGTTGCCCCCAAAGAGTGAGTATTATCATGTAGTGTCTGACATGTAGCAAAAACATATATAGTATGTTTGGGAACAATCTTATGATTGATTAAATAAATGGAGATAGATAAATAGACATACAAAAAGAAGACAAGACAGATAAATTGATATCTCCAGGGTTGTTTAAAAACAAACAAAAAATCTAACAGCATGCCCAGGAGGATGATTTCCCTAATATGAACATCAAATGTGTTTAAAAATAATTCATTATTTAAACAAATGCCAGTAGGTGTTGATGGCCTATAACTACTAACTGTAGTAATCAGAAATAATGATCCATCAGGTAATTTTCATTTCTCTATTTCTTTCACTGGAGAACTTCTTTATATTTTATTTTCTAGGTCTCATTTTTTTCTTCCTAACCTAAAGAAAGATACGTTCATTCCCTCATTAGCTAACTACACCATTTTAAGGAATCTTTTCCCCTTCTTCACCTTTATGGTTTACACTTTGACTGAATCAACTTCCAGGCCAAAATGACATTTTATAGTCTGCTCATAAACTTATCCACCTGACAGTAGTTTTGACTGCTCAAAGGAACCACTGCCAAAGTCTACTTGATTCTTATGGCTAGATTGGAAGCTGATTATCAGGAATTTAGGGTTCTATTCCTGTCCGGGGACCCAACCTTCTTTATGCCTCATTTTGCACCTCGATAAAATGGGTAACTAAGTCCTTTGAGGCTGTAATATTCCCTGCCAAAGGCTTTAAATAAGTGTAAGGTGTTACTGCTCATTGATTCACAAAGTTTTTTAAGGTGTTATTGCTGTTACTTGAGTAACAGGAAAGAACCTTCTTGAACTTGGAAAGACCAACCAATAACTTCCATTTTGACTATTCCTTTTATTTTATGAAGTTCAAATCAATAAACTTTCAGTGGTTTTAAATGTAAATTATTATATAAGTAATACAAAATCATCTAAATCTCCAAATTTGTCTATAATAATATAGTATTACACATGATAGTATTTATATAATACCTCTTAAATACTTAAACATAAAAGTTTATTCAATATAGTTATAGTTCCAAGAATAGCCTATCATATCTTAATTCCTGAATACAGACTTTCCTAATCATTGGACCTTTTCATATTTTATCTTATTACATTTATAAACATATTTACTTATAAAAATGAGAAAATACTTTAGATAAATACCTAGAAGTTAGCTAAATAACTAAGAGTTAATTATGAGGTTAAATGACACCCATTTTGAAGGCTTTGAATAGCTGTTGTCAAACTGGTTTCAGATTCGAAAGAGCTTGATTGATAGGTGAATCTCAAAAGTGTATTTGTTTCACATCAAAGTTATTTTCTGTCCACTGTGGTTATTCCTGTCAAAAGCTTGTCCTTTCAACAGTCTTCTGTCTTTAACTATATTCTCAGTTCATCTCCTCTATGCCAATATTGAAAATAAATTTTAGGGAGGTTAAAAAAGGGTTTCTAGAGAAATGATTAATGGTTATATGATAATGAACTATGCAGTCATAATATTTTATTGATTTTAACTTGTCATATCAAACCAATTTACTTAAAGAAAAGTTTACTATGTTCTCACACTCTTTAGAGAAGAAATGTTCAGAAATCTAAAAATGCTTAAAATACTGACAACTGAATTTTGATGATATAAGCTAATTTTAAAGATAATTTATAAAGCAGTAACTTTACTGTACTTTTCTCCTTATCCCTACACCATAATTTGGGGATTAGCAAGTATTGTTTGTTTTTAATGTCATCTCTAGAACTAAGTATTGTCTGTATGAATGCCATTTGTATAATACTTCATGGTTTACAAACACTTCCCCATAATTACAGCACATTTTTTTTCTCAGCAATTTTAAAGGGATTACCCTCCCTACATCTTCTACATCTTATTCCTTGCCACCACTCCTGTGTTGTTGATGTAAATTTTGCTTAGAAAGGCAAGTAAACCAAGTAACCCAGCAGGTAAGGAAAACAATTAAAAATAAAATTATTTCATACTTACTCAAAGCTCACTGTGTTTTTACTGGCTACATTGCTGCTCATTTATGTGGGATGAAAACACTACAAAAAGGGAGGGATAATGCAGAAGGGCAGGGAATAAAGTGAATTGGTGAAGAAAGGGAGGAAAAGAGAGATAGAGTTAGGCTCATTGTACTATTAAATTCTCTACTTCCTTACATTGTTTAATAAGTGTTAGTTACATAGAAAATGAAACCAATAATGATTTATATTATGCCACAGTTTTTTAAAACTATCAGTTAACTCACCCTTAAGAAGATTGTTCTTGACTGAATGGTGATATTTAATTTGCATATGCACTTCTCTTAGCTTAGGGCCTTTGTGCTGTCTATTGCTTCCACCTTGAATGTATTTCTTTGAGATAGCTGCATGGCTAATTCCTTTACTTTCTTCAGAAATTTGCTCAATGTCACCTTCTTAATACAACTGCCTGGCCATTTTACTTAAAAATACAGTAGCCATTCCTTCCCTGGTTTTCCCAGTTCAACTTGCTATTTTCTAACCATTCTATTTATCCGCAAATATTCTATATAATTTACTCATTTATGATGTTTATTGTCTTCCTCACCCCCACCTCCACCTCACACTAGAATGTAAGCCTCATGAGAGCAGGGATTTTTGCACATTAATTTTTTTCTGACTATCTCCCTCCTCTAGAATATCAGCAAACAGCAGTGATTTTTGTCTGTTTCCTTCATTGATACATGCCTAGAACATTACCTTGTATATAATTCTTGGTCAATATTTGTTTATCAAATTGGACATCTGTTGTTATAGTACCTATATAAAAGAACTATACAACATGTTGATTACACAAGATACGTGCATTGTACTAACAGCATGCTACACCTGTGATTTTTGGCTTCGGTTCTATGATACTCATCAATATCTAAGCTCATGACAATGACGGGGGAAGTGGGGTAGTAGAAAAACCCTATACCCACTTTAAAAACTTTAAACTGTAGCTCTGTTCTTTGTTGTACAAAATGACATGTTACAAAGATACAAAGACATATAATACAGCACAGCGCTCCTTAGCAAGAAGACGATTCCCCATTGTATGCCAACATTGGTTGGAAAGCATGGTGTGATACACGTTTACTCTTCATCTGAGACGTTTCCACATTGTATTAGGGCACTGTGGACTATTTCGGTTAATCAGTGTTTCAAATGTAATCTGGGGTTTAGTGCCAGGTGGCATGCCTGAGACATAAAGATTTTATGGATAACAGATGTAGAGAAATGTAGAGCTTTCTCAGATTGACCGTAGACATATTTTCTTAAGAGATACATACATAGAGTAGTTATTCTGTTAACCAATGTTTAAGATCATAAAATTGTTACATAAATATAGGCCTTCCAAATTTTGATTGAATTCTTGTGAACTAAATGCAAACTGTTTACATTAGGGCTTAAAATAACGGTAAAATAATCATCTGTTCAGTTTCTTTTATATTGCCTAGTATGAGCAGACATAACAAAATGATATTAAAGCATCCAAATTTTACACGATCTAGTGGACATACACAAATTAAAGCTCACATGCTGTGCATTCTTTTTTTAAACCACCATTTCCCTTTTCATTTTATAAAAATTTATTTATAAAAAAGTGCATTTAAAAAGAATTGTATAAATGGAAAAATGGATTGGAAGTGAAAATATTTGAAGTTACTTTACTTTAGAGTGAGGACGATTTGTTGTGACAAGAAATATAAAACAATTTTTTTATTTCTTTTTTAACAAATAGGGATACTGAAAATACAATTTTTGCAACAGTTTCCATTAAAATAATATGTTGCAATACTTTAGTTGAATTGTATAGTTTTCTTAAAATATTTGAGTAAAAATAAGCAATAGTGAAATTGGATGTGTCCAAAATAAGACATTATTTTAAAATTGTGTAGACTGGTGACAGCCTATTAAAGTAAGCAAATTCCTTATGTGGCATGAGGGAAATCATTTTATGATTTTGATAGTTGTATATTTTGGTGAATAATCTTGTAATGTATCATTAGGTCTGAAGTTATTTACTGTTATTCTATACCCAACTTACAATTATTTAGTCTCCATAAGCTTAAACTAAAACTTCTTTCAAGGTAGTGGTTAACAGTTGTTTTCAAAGCAAATGCTAAGTCTGCAAAGGCATTCCTTAATGCTTTTTCTTTCTTTCTTTTCTGGCAGTAAGAACTTGATTTGTGTTCATGTTCTGAATTTCTTTAGTGTTCCTAGTATGGCTGTTGAAATCTATACTTTATATGATCTCATTGTACTGCCTGCATTTCATTAATGGCCGATTCTGTTTAGGGCTTAGGGAGTGAAATATTTTTCATATGACACTACGCAAAATGAGTACAGTACACCAGCTGCAAAAACCACAAACCATCTGATTTTGTGGCTTTTGAGGGTGTGAATAGTTCAATTCTTAAAGTACAGCTTATATCTGTATTATACCATATGGAAGTGGGACTACTGTAGACTTATGACAAATGTCAAAAATATTAAATTCTCATCAGTAGCCTTATTTCAAATAAAGATGAGTAATATACTTATTAAGAGTTATTTTGTGTTATATTTGACCTAGAATCACATTATACCTTTTTAATATTTGGCTGCATAGTTATAGTTTTTATAGTTTTCACAAACAGCAATTTACATTTTATTCACAAAGATAATTGATTACTCATAGATTTATAATAATTTTTTAATGATTTTTAAACATACTGTATTGTACTCCTATTATGCAATTTTAAGCAATTATGATGTAGACAGTCATATACATGTAAAATTTTTAGTTTAAAATAATTTATCAGGAGTAATTTTAAATCAACTAATTCACATGTATTTTAATAGAAAATAAATACAATTTTAGAATAATCCTGTTATTTTGTATATAGTCAAAGGAAATGGAATCATCATATCAAGGAGATATCTGCACTCTGATGTTTATTGCAGTGCTATTTGCAATAGCCATGATATAGAATCAACCTAAGTATCCAACATTGGATGAATGGATAAAATAAATGTGGTATATAGACACATTTTTATACATTTAGAATAATCCTATTACTGAGTGTATAGTCAATGGAAATAGAATCATTATGTCAAAGATATCTCTGCAGTCTGCTGTTTATTGCAGTGTTATTTATGATAGAATACGGAATCAAACTAAGTGTCCAATAATAGATGAGTGGATAAAGAAAACGTGGTATATATACACAATGGAATACTATTCAGCCGTAAAATAGTGAAATCCTGTCATTTGCAATTTCATAGATGAACCAGGATAACATCATGTTAGGTGTGAAATAAGCCAGACACAGAAAAACAAATACCACATGACCTCATTCATAAGTGGAATCTAAAAAGAGAAAAAAAACCTGGTATCATAGAAGCAGAGACTAGAACAAAGGTTATCAGAGACTGGATGGAGAGAGGGGAAGGGAGGGAAGGATAGAGAGTGGTTGGTCAAAAGGGACAAAGCTACAATGAGGAGGAATACATTCTGGTGTTCTATTGTACTGTAGGGTGAGTGGAAGAGAGGCTTTTGAAGGTTCTCACCAGGTTATGGGTTCACTCTACCTTGATTGTATCAGTATACAACACAGATATGTATTGAAATATCAGATTTTAGCCCATAAACGTAGAATTACAAGGTATCAATTAAAAATTAAATAAATAAGCTATAAAATAAAAAATAAATGCAATGGTTTATATATGCCTTAGGTCCTGATGTAACTGTAATCTTGCTTTACTAACAGCCATTTAAACCAAGTAATATTTTGTAAATATTGTTTATGAAAAACATAATTAACATTAAGGTCACTCTGTGACCTATAAACAGTTTATATATAATTGAAATTATACTTTTGTTTTCTGGTGTGTTTCAGGGGCTTCCTTTGAAGGATAAGGTACATGTATGTATGTATGTATGTGTATCCATATGTCTATACAATACGCACACATATAGATACATATACATACATATACACACGCATATACGTATATGTTTTGTATGAGAGGAAAAGAGTAAGACACATTCTCACTCATTTTTGCATTTTATACTGTCCTTCATACATTAGCACTACCAGTTTATTCCATTGATTGATCAGTAGTTAATGCTTTCACCCCAGCCACTTTCACACTATGGCAACAGTTTCAACCTTGAAAGTTGGCATTCAGACATATATAAGATTGTATAAAAAGGAAGTCTTAGAAAATTTCTCCAAATAATAGATATCTATCATTGGAAAATATCTGACAAACTTATAGATGAGTATTTTATACCTCAAGCAAGGTAGTTCACTAAAATATACTTTGTCAATTGCCATAGTGTTGACTTCAACAACCACCTGTGGTGAAGTTAGTGGCAGAGGTATGTGAGTAATGCTAGGGTTGATTAAATGGCACAGGGTAAGTAATTTGTTAGAGATTATCTATAAATGCCTATTAAAATAAAAACAAGATTTTCTTGATACGAAATTCCTATTTGGTTAATATAAATGTTGCTATGCATATTATTTAAAAATCTTGCCAATTAAGAAAAATAATTTTGGGTGAAACATTCTAATTTTAATGAAACTCTAAATGGTAAAACAATTTTAAAAACTTGTTAATAGAAATATAAGTCAACTACAGAACTCAAACATTTCTAGATAATCTGACATATAATATGCCTTTACTATTTTTTAATCTTATTTGTTTGATAATACAGACAAGATTCTTAATATCATTCTATTAGAGAATTACGTGGTAAATCACAGTTGAAATACAAGAGTTTTATAGCAAGAATTGTTATGGATATTTAATTATCTTTAGCAACATTGGTAAGTCAAATACATTTAAAAATGATTAATAATAGATTAGATCTTAATAATTAGATCCCAATTACAGAAATGTAACTTTTTTTCTTAATATGGATGACATCTAAGCTCACCAAGCTCACCATTCTTTGACCTTTTCTTTTTTATCCTTTACTGTCTTTCCTCTACCTTCATTAATTGATTCATCTTTCTTTCCTATGCTTCTCTTCTTCAAGGTTTGTTTCCTTTTTCCCCTCTTGTTGTCTACTTTGTTCAAATTCGTCTCCCATAGATTTTTAGTCATATTTCCTCATCTCATCAAGAATGATGGTATTCTTATGCATTTATATCTTCGTTTTTCCCAATTTTTCTATTTTTTTTAAACTTTCCATTCTGTAGCTCTGTACCAGCTGTTTCTGGTTCTTCTGGAAAGAACACTCGTCTTATAGAAAGAACACTGTCCAGGATCCAAAAGACATAAGGTTGAGTGTAGTTCTGGCCCAGCTTTCTTATCTGTAAAACTGTAAGATTAAAAGAGGCCAGACTGAATTTCCTCACAGCTTTAAAATTCTATAAAGTATGCTTAGGTGTTTGGAACTTTGGATGAAATTGTTAGCTTTGGAAGAGAGAGATGCTTTTGCAAGGGTCAAACTAAGTAACAATACCCTACCCTGCAGCAGCTTCCAGCCCCAAGTCAGATCAGCCATCAGTGCGTGGGTATCAGCTTATGAGTATTCAACACCTTGCCTCGTTTTTTTCTCAAAGCAAAATGGGCCAAATGGGCTCATGATGGATTCCAGAATCTTGTGGTAATATAAGGACATAAATATAGTTCAAAGCTAGACTTTTAAGATTCTATTTTCAAACAATATCTAGAGAATTATTGTTATATGTCATGTAGAATAAGATACTATTGTAGAGGCAGTTTCAGACATTGTTCCTGTCCCATCAATGCTTGTGACTTTACTATGTTTTTTTTTCTGTATTCCGCAAATCACCTAAAATTAACTGTAGACATGAAATGCAACTAAGAACCATTTGAAGCAAATGGTGACTGTATTTTAATAATCATGGCATTTCACTAAAAGTCTTTCTAATAAATAAAAGCCTAGTGTTTGATAGTGGGAATGTAAAGGTTTAAGTCGTAAAACTCAAAGGATAAACCATTACCGATACTATGAGATAGGAATGATTATCATTCCATTTTAGAGATGAGGAAGATGAGGCTCAGAGGTTGAATAATGAGCCCAAGTTCATAAACCAAGGAATTGGTGAAGGAGGAAAATATCCAGAGCCAGTATTTTAATTCCTATGCTATCTTCCCATTAGATGAAAGAGTAGCTTTTATCATTTATTCGATATTTCTATTTGGCAGTAGATATTTGATTGTATGATATTTAAAATATCCTAAAACTGTTTCTAAGGTTGTGTTATTTAAAGGACAATAGGATTTCCCTCAAGGTGTATTTTGATTGCTTCATTTACTTCACAAAAAACACAGGTGTGTGTGTGTCTGTGTGTGTGTGTGTGTGTTCTGCCTTAGATCTTCACTTATGTATTAGCATGTTTTATAGTCAATTAAATGTGAAAATAGAAGAAATAATAATTTATGGAGATGCATACTGGTGTGGATAGGGTTTATTAATTAAGTCAATTAGTGTCTAAAGTCCTAGGTTAATCCAATTTGTTACACTTAGAATGTTTCTAAATCATAAAATAATTGTATAATTATGAATTACACATTGATTAGGGTGATTTCAAAGAATGACCATAGTTGGACTTTGGGGTGTCTCTTGAGGAAATGCTATGTTACAGAATTCTGAACTAATACAAAGATAAAATAGCTTTAAAAGTCACTAAAGATCTATGTAGCACTATATAACAAGAAGCAAAGAGTCTGTCAGAAACTAGCCACACATAAATATATCTTGAATGAGTAAAAGAATAAACAGACATCAAAAATGGATGTTTTTATTTTTATTTTTATTTTACTTTAAGTTCTGCGATATTTGTGCAGAACGAGCAGGTTTGTTACACAGGTATACATGTGCCATGGTGGTTTGCTGCACCCATCAACCCATCATCTAGGTTTTAAGTCCCTCATGCATTAGGTATTTGTCCTAATGCTTTTCCTCCCCTCCCCCGGTCCCCCAACAGGCTCCGGTGTGTGATGTTCCCCTCCCTGTGTCCATGTGTTCTCATTGTTCATCTCTCACTTACGAGTGAGAACACGCAGTGTGCGGATGTATTATATTTATGTTTTCCTTAAGTAACTTGTTGCTGATGCTATTTTTAATACTTTTATTGAACTTTTTTCTTGGTATGAGTCTGTCTTGTCTTTAATGTAACTTGCAGGGTACTGCTAACATCACTTACAATGAAACTAGCATGATCCCTTGATTGATTAATCCCCCTCACATAAGAGCCTCAGCTGCTGTTTCAGGAGTCCTTCAATAAATATATAGTTGCCTCTAATTTCAGAGACCAGTAGCAACTAAGAAGGCAAAGGTTTTTGAAGGGATCCACAGAAATCAACTTGGACCCTTCTTGTATTGATAGATACATCTCATCTAAATAGTTGATATTGGTTATTCTGCTACAATTTATTTGTATTCAAAATATTCATATTTTTATTATATTTCTTTTTACAATTGACCTTCAGTATCCATGGGGGCTTAGTTCAAAGACTCCCTCACATCCCTGCAAATACCAAAATCCAGGGATGCTTAAGTCCCTTATATAAAGTGGTGTAGTATTTGCGTATAACCTACACACATACTTTTGTATATATTTCATCATCTCTAGACTACTTAGAGTGCCTAATACAATGTAAATGCAATGTAAAAGTTGTTACACTGTATTGTTTAGGAAATACTGACAACAAAAATGTCTATACATGGTAAGCACAGACACAACCATCTATTTTTTCTCAAATATTTTCTGTCCACGGTTTGTTGAATCCATAAGTGCAGAACCCATGGACATAGAAGGCCAACTGTATGGTGTTTAATAGCAAATGGCCCATGTCTGTTGCAATGGGATTTGACCAATACAATAAACTTGTGTATTTTTTAATAAAACAGAGAACTATTAGAATAAAGAACAATTTATACTGTTATTATTTTCAAGATACATATAGAATGCTACTGGTAATTTTGTCATTGTTATACCAACTGAAGACTTAGTAACTATGTTGCATATTAAATGTAAATACCTGACAGTAATGTATTAAAAAAGGAGGAAGCATTCTGTATCTCTATTATATAATATTCTTTGAATGTGCTATAAAGCACATTGGTGCTTTATAATCCAAAGAAAACTACAACTCAATCCAAATTTAGTTGCTTTTGCTTTATTTTCTTGAATTGTATCAAATATATCTTTACAATAAGTATACTTTAAGTTTTATCAAATATATTTTCTTCTCTGTCCTCATAAAAAGTATGATAAAGTAATAGTTTTCTATAGTGTCACAATATAAAATGTTAAATCTGTGCTCATTAAAACAGAAATTATATTCTATGGTATATTATCTTACAATATGTAGTAAATGTTAATGGCACAATGGAAGAAATTTGTAGGAGTGTTTTAAATATCTTTTCCTTCATTATTATGGAGATGCTTGAAATTAATGTCATAATCGGATATGTCAAATAGCAACATGATAAAAAAAGCCCATGTCTTTGAAAAAATGATTAAGTTATTTCAGTATAGTACTATATTATTCTAATATCAGATGTAGAAAGATGTGGTATAGTATGCACTAATTATATGTCAGATGTTAGTTCCATGTCTGAATCGGATGAAATTTTCAGAAAACTGAGTTAGAACCAGGTGCAGTGGCTCACATCTATAATCCCAGCACTTTGGGAGGCCGAGTCAGATGGATTGCTTGAGTCCAGGAGTTCAAGACCAGCTGGGGCAACATGGCAAAATGCCATCTCTAACAAAAAAAAAAAAATAGCTGAGTGTGGTGGGGCACACCTGTAGTCCCAGCTACCTGGGAGGCTAAGGTGGGTGGATCACCTGAGCCTGGGAGGTCAAGACTACAATGAGCCATGGTCACACCACTGCAGTCCAGCCTGGGCAACAGAGTGAGACCCTCTCTGAAGAAAAAAAAGAAAGAAAGAAAAAGAAAAAGAATGAAAGAAAGTTGAGTCAGAAAGGTTATATGTGCTGTACTTTGGGCCTCAAAACGATCTTCACATTGTGTTCACTTAAGCTTTGTTGTGGAAATCTACCCAGTGATTAATCCAGAGGCAGCATCAATAACATAGACCAACAGTATAAATTCCTGTATAAATATACTAGGACTGCTGTAACAGTCTGACAATTCTGAACAGGCTCTTACAGAACTCCTAGAAAACTAACAGACTAAGTAGCTTAACAACACAATTTTAATTTTTTTCACAGTTCTGGAGGCTAGAAGCCCTTGATTAAAGTGTTGGCAGGGTTGGCTCCCTCAGACTTTTCTCCTTAGCTTGTAGTGTGTTTTCACATAATCTTTCCTATATACCTGTCTGTATCTAAAGGGCCCACACTAATGACCTCATTTTAACTTAATTGACCCTATAAACATCCTGTCCCTAAATACAGTCACATTCTGAGGTACTGAGGGTTAGGACTTCAACTATAATTTTTCTTGAGGGGTGGGTGCAATTTAGCATATAATAATGGCTCTTAGAATAATTCTAATAGTTTAAAATTTATATTTACAGTGTTCTTCACAATATACAGTTTTCTAACTGGAAGTCACAAAGTCTAATTTGACGGACCAGGAAATAATACTCCTGAATTCTTCAACCCACTAGATAATGGGCAAGAAGAGGATTTCTTACCCTGTCTGTAATGAGATTGGGCTTTGGAGAAGTAACTAATTCCTATCAAATGGGATAGGTTTTCTTCATAGACTCCACATCAACCTCTCACCACTGTCCATAAGACAATCCTTTAGCCCCACAAAAAAACTGCAAACTTTTTCCTATCATGGCATGACAGATATCTTATATCAGTGTTTTCATTGCCCATACAAGTCCATTTTGTCAAGAT
Organism: Homo sapiens; assembly: GCF_000001405.40. Classification (NCBI taxonomy): domain Eukaryota; kingdom Metazoa; phylum Chordata; class Mammalia; order Primates; family Hominidae; genus Homo; species Homo sapiens. The sequence continues at coordinate 114,353,207 of NC_000007.14, forward strand.
TGCTATCTGAAGTTTTATTGTTTTATTCATGTGTAGATGATCTTCTCCAGGGCTCCCTTTTTTTCCACAAACTTTTCCTCCGATAGCCCCCTCTTCTGTTGTCATTTGTTAATCTGTATAGGAGCCTCTTTTTTTTTTTTTTTTTTTTTTTTTCACAGCTCTATCTATCACAGAGATTGGAGGCAAGCTGAGTGTCATCCTAGGTCCCTAGGCCAGCATCGAATGAAGGATAATATTCATGCACTTCCAAGCACAATTCTGAACCCAGTAGTGACAGTGCCAACCCCTTTTCCATTATGAAAGCAGATTGGGATTTACATGAGAATTGTATCATTGTGAAATGAAACAACATTCAATCCACTTCATTTCTTTTAAAAATCATCCATAAACTTTGACACTTTCTCTAATAGCACTTTACTTCCTATGGGCCTCATAAGTATCATAATACTTCTGACACTTCCTTCTAAAGAGGTAAATCACTCCTTCTTAGAGCATTTAACTGGATGTCTTTCTACTCCTCCTCTCTACTGTCATCTACTGATCTGTAGGCCACTTTGTATGTTCAATTACGATACTGGTGCATAGCTCATAGTCTTCTGCCCCAATCTACATCTCACCATCACACCTGGTGGTTTTTGAGTTCCTGTGTATAACCCATCTCATACAATAAGGAGATCATCTCTGCATTCTATATCAACTTTGACTCCTATGATGGTTAATCTTATGTGTCATCTTGACTGGGCCGAGGGATGACCAAAGACCTAGTAAAACATTATTTTGAGGTGTGTCTGCAAGGGTGTTTCTGGAGAAGGTTAGCTTTTGAATTAGTAAACTCAGTAAAGAAGATCTATACTCACCAATCATGTTGGGCATCAGCCAGTTCTTTGATTGCCGGAATAAAATAAAAGGCAGAGAATAGGGGAATATGATTCCTGTTTGAGACATCTATCTTCTCCTTCCCCGGGATATTGATACTTCTGGTTCTTGGGCCTTTGTACTCATACTGAGAATTACACCATCAGATCCCTTCTGGGTTAGCAGGCATTTGGACTCAGACTGAATTATGCCACTAACTTTCCTGGTTCTTCAGCTTGCAGATGGCAGATTGTGGGACTTCTCGGCCTCCATAATTGTGTGATCCAATTCCTATAATAAGCCTGTCACACATACTCATATATATGTATATATAAAACCTTCATATCTATATCTATATCTGTCCTATTGGTTTGGTTTCTCTGGAGAGCCCTGAATAATACAACTCCCTTTCTCATTCATTTTTCTGCTGTACCTGGTTGGCAAAATGCCAACAGTGATGAATGAAGAGGTACTTTCTCTCCTCCCTTCACCCAGACTGTCAAGGGGAACAGATAAGCTTAAATCCCTTCCATCTTAAAAATGAAGGTCTCTCTGGATCCTGAAAATGTCATCTCAATTCTACCTTATTCCCTTCAAGTCCAAGTCTCTAGATAACATGTTTCTTCTCCCTCCCCCTATATTATATAAGCTTGTTAAAGGAATTAATGGTCTCTATGAACACACCTGCTCAGTTGTTTTTAATCTGTTAAAAGTTTTGAAATCACATATATGTGAAAAAAGGTTCAAGTGACATTTCTGATAGTTTTTAAAATATGAGATATTTTGAAAAGGTATATATTTTGGACAGAGTATGTATAATAACCACTTTGATGTACACATTTATTGACAATTATTTTCATATTTGTAAATAAACGAGCATTGCTATTGCTTTTTCTGTCACTGTTTTCAATACTGAATTCTCTTTGAAGACATGTCATCCATTTATAATTATTTTACAATATATGACATATCTATAACTAATATTCTAACTTTTGTTCTGTGGTGATAGAGTATTACAATAGGTAAAACAAAAACAAACATATCTTTTGTCATGGTCATCAGATGCAGCCCTTCTCACCTTCTAGTATTTAGGGAAATAAAAATAATGGGCACTCTTTTGGGAACATGTCAAGCCACTAGGAACCGAGCATCTAGCTTGACCTCTGTGGGCCTCTCTGCGGTGTCAGAAAGTACCAGGTGAATTTGGCCTCCACAGGTGATTCAAATCTGGAATGAGATCAAACTTGGCTCTCACTTTGATTTCCCTGTCCCATGGGGAGACTGGAGCTACTTTGGGCTTTTTGGCTTAGAGTGTGTTCTATAAAGGTACCAGAATATGCAGTAACCATATCTGTGGTGTTTACTTTTGTTCTAGAGAAATAGAAATAAAGAATTCACTTAAAAATAATGCACTTAGGTCAGAAATCAAGTGTAATAGTTTCTCTGAAGACTTTTCCTGTTTTCTATGGCTCAGATGAAATTTTTTTTCAGACTGTCCGGAAGGCTGCATTTTGGATCTGTATTTTAGTAAACTGAAACATGTTACAGAGCTGCTTCTTATCTGTAGCAAGTCATTTATGTAGTTTAAAAAAACAACTAACCTTTGAATTTATATACCATCTGGGAGTACAAACCTGATTTTGTGTGTCTGTATGGAGCAAATAATGGCTAATATGATGGCCGGGGCTAGTTGATGAATGGGGGTGACTGGCATTGCTTCCTGTGCCCATGGAAAAGGTACATCTTTACCCATTAGAAAAACGCTTTCATACGTGGTTCTCCTAGCGTCCTAGGCTCCCTACTTTGTTATTTTGGCCATTAGCTTTTCAGCATGGATAATTATTTTGTTTACATTTTTGGAATTCAGATGCCTGGATTTAAAAGTGATACTTACCTCTGTTCAACTACTTCTACCTTCATTTTATGAATTTCTAACTTTTAAAAAATCATTTTAATTAGTTGCTGTTATTGTAGTTATCATTATCTTCATCGCTATTATTACCCAAGTGCCTCCTTTGAATTCCACAGGACTAAATGGCTTTCCCCCGTAGAAAGGCCCAAATTATAAAAACTAGCCTTGTTGTTCTGTCATAGTAATAAATAAATAAGTTGGTAAGTAAGTAAATAAATAAAATGTATCTTCTATTACTTGGAGTAGTTTCCAGTTTTTGTTAAGCAAACTGATTTTAGTCTTACCATATACTTCGCATATTGTTAATTTTGTGTGCTACACAGGTTAGTCTAGTGACTAATCTGGGAAATGATTTCATGAAATGACTAATCATCTTGTTATAAACTACATAATATAAAGACCATTCTGTTAATTCAGGGTCAAGCCAGATGGTAAGGCAGGAAAGCGGTCTCTCCGTGGCTAAAACTAAAAAGGTAAAATTGAGAAATTAAATGAGGATTCCAGGAAATAGCACCTCACAGAAATATTTCCAGGAAGTAACACCTACTCACTTAGAGGGTAAGGAATGATTATGGGTTGCTATTAATGTAAACATCATCTGTGTAAGAATGGGCAAGGTCAAAAGCTTGGGTTCAAAATCAAGGAAAGATTTGTGAATACCACATGTTCTTGAAGATTTCTTAAATGGTATTAGAGAGAGTAGTAGAGGAACATTTTTATCAATTAAACTACTACAACAGAGGCATCCTTCTAATATTAGTCAAGGCTAAGGAATGATAATTATTATTCAAAACAAAGACAGGACATTCCCTGGCTTTTGTAGATGTAGATATTTATTAAATTATATTTCCGGATTGAATGAATGAATACCTATTTAGAAACATAGAGAAATAGGGCTATTCCACAGTAGTTATTCAAACATTTTTATACCCTTATGGTCTTTGATATTTATCTGTATTATGTGAAGAGGGGGCAATTTTGGTGACAAAGAGCGTATTTCAACCATTTGCCAATAGGAGAATGAATCTAAATGAGAAGCCTTGATCACAGCTTTTAGAATTGCTTGGAAGAGATATGGTTATACTCTCCAGAGTATTGCTCTTTTTTCTCTAACTTGATTAACTCTGTAAGTAAATGCCATCAGAATTTTTCCTGGCCATTTGAAAACCCTGATAAAGGATTCTAAGGATAGACTCTCATTTGCTGGGAATTTTTCATAGTAGTACTTATCGTTACATATATTTTGGGTGCTTAACCAGCACAAAGTAACACCATGTCTTGAAAAAATACTGTTAGTAAGTTAAGTAATTACAGACTGCTGTCACCTAGGATAAACTGGAAAGTTATAGGCAATGCAGTTCAAACGATGAAAAATATTAATGGAGACGTATTGATTCAGCCATAACTAGAAATCAAGAATTATGCTGGGCTTCAAGGTTCATTTGCTTTATTGGTTCAATGATGTCATTGAGGATCTGTCCACTTTGTTTACCGTATCCATTCCCTTCATAATATCAGCCTTGTCCTAAGGCTAATCCTAAGGCTGTCTCCCTTTGGTGGTTGTGAAATGACTGCCTACTACTCAAAGGACCACACGGTTCTTTGGCCACCTCTTAGGAGAGAAAGCTTTCCCAGAAACTGGAGAGCTTATTTTTGGGAAGCCTTCAGTAAATGCCTTCATCACTCTCAGTGAGCAGAACTAGGATGTATGGTATCCTAAGGAATTAGTTGTCAAATACTTTAACTCCATAGAGGATCAGTGGATACTTGGATGCCTACTTTGATTTTTTTTTCAACATTTATTCCACTGAATATTCTACTGAATAGCAGCAGTGTGGTTTGTAGAATTAACCTTAACTTCATTAGTCTAAGAGTAATACTATCCTTCTTGCCTTCAACCAATTTAGAGATTGTCATGTGACCCAATTTTGGTCAATAAGAAATGAGGTCAGATAGGCTGGAGGCCTCTAGGAAAGTTCTTTTTTTGTTGTTTTTGATAAAGAGTATCAAGAGATGTGATCCTCCTTTGATATGTTTTGGCTGTGTCACCACCCAAATCTCATCTTGAATTGTAGCTCCCATAATCCCCACATATCATGGGATGGACCTGGTGGGAGGTAATTGAATCATGAGGGCAGGTTTTTCCCATGCTGTTCTCATGATAGTGGAATAAATCTCACAAGACATGATGACTTTATTAAGAGCAGCTTCCCTGAACGCACTTTCTTGCCTGCTGCCATGTAAGACAGTGTCTTTGCTCCTCTTTTGCCTTCCACCATGATTGTGAGGCCTCCCCAGCCATGTGGAACTGTGAGTTCATTAAACCTGTTTGTCTTTATAGATTACCCAGTCTCCAATATTTCTTCATAGCATTATGAAAATGAACTAATACAGTAAATTGGCACCAGTAGAGTGGGGCGCTGCTATAAGGATACTCAAAAATGTGGAAGTGACTTTCGAATTGGGTAACCAGCAGAGATTGGAACAGTTTGGAGGGCTCAGAAGAAGACAGGAAAATGTGGGAAAGTTTGGATTTCCTAGAGACTTGGAGGGCTCAGAAGACAGGGAAAGTTTGGAGCTTCCTAGAGACTTGTTGAATGATTTTGACCAAAATTTCCAGGCTGAGGTGATCTCAGATGGAGATGAGGAACTTATTGGGACCTGGAACAAAGGTGATTCTTGATATGCTTTAGCAAAGAGACTGGAGGCATTTTGCCCCTGCCCTAGAGATCTATGGAACTTTGAACTTGAGAGAGATGATTTAGGGTATCTGGCAGAAGAAATTTCTAAGCAGCAAAGTGTTCAAGAGGTGACTGGAGGTTCTTAACAGCATTCAGTTTTATTCATTCACAAGGAGGTGGTTTGAAATTGGAACTTATATTTAAAAAGGGAGCAGAGGATAAATGTTTGGAACATGTGCAGCCTAGTGATGCAATAGAAAAGGAAAACCCATTTTCTGAGGAGGAATTCAAGCAGGCTGCAAAAATTTCTGTAAGTAACAAGGAACCAAATGTTAATCACCAAGACAATGAAGAAAATGTCTTCAGGGCTTATCAAAGGTCTTCACAGCAGCCCCTCCCATCACAAGCCAGGACGCCTAGGAGGAAAAAATGGTTTTGTGGGCCAGGCCTTGCTGCTTTTTGGAGTCTGGGGACTTGGTGACTTGTGTCCCAGCCATGGGTAAAAGGGACCAATTAACAGCTCAGGTCATTGCTTCAGAGGGTGCAAGCCCCAAGCCTTGGTAGCTTACATGTGATGCTGAGCCTGCAAGTGCACAGAAGTTAAGAAGTAAGGTTTGGAACCTCCGTCTAGATTTCAGTGGATGTATGGGAATGCCTGCATGTCCAGGCAGAGGTGTGCTGCACAGGCAGAGGGCTCATGGAGAACCTCTGCTAGGGGAGCACAAAAGGGAAATGTGGGGTGGGAGCCCCCACAAATGGTCCTCACTCGGGTACTGCCTAGAAGAGCTGTGGGAAGAGGGCCACCATCCTCCAGAATCCAGAATTGTAGATCCACTGACAGCTTGTACCATGGGCCTGGAAAAGCTGCAGATACTCAACACCAGCCTGTGAAAGCAGCCAGAAGTGGGGCTGTATCCAGCAAAGCCAGAGGGGCAGAGCTGTCCAAGACCATGGGAACCCACCTCTTGGATCAGCATGACCTGGATGTGAGACATGGAGTCAAAGGAGATCATTTTGGCACTTTAAGATTTGACTGCAGCACTGGATTTCAGACTTGCATGCGGCCTGCAGCCCTTTTGTTTTGACCAATTTCTCCCATATGGAATGTGTGTATTTACCCAATGCCTGAATCCCCATTGTATCTAGGAAGTAATTAACCTGCTTTTGATTTTACAGGCTCATAGGTGGAAGGGACTTGCCTTGTCTCAGATGAGACATTGGACTGTGGACTTTTGAGTTAATGCTAAAATGAGTTAAGGCTTTAGGGGACTGTTGGGACAGCATGATTGGTTTTGAAATGTGAGGACATGAGATTTGGGAGGGGCTGGAGTGGGATGATATGGTTTGGCTGTGTCCCCACCCAAATCTCATCTTGAATTATAGCTCCCATAATCCCCATGTGTCATGGGAGGGATGCGGTGGGAGGTAATTGAATTACAGGGATGGGTTTTTCCCATGCTGTTCTCATGGTAATGTATAAATCTCACAATATCTGATAGTTTTATAAAGGGCAGTTCCTCTGCACCTGCTCTCTTGTCTGCTGCCATGTAAGACCTACCTTTGCTCCTCCTTTGCCTTCCACCATGATTGTGAGGCCTCCCCAGCCATGTGAAGCTATGAGTCCATTAAACCTCTTTTTCTTTATAGATTACCCAGTCTCAGGTGTTTCTTCATAGCAGTAAGAAAATGGACTACTACATCCTTCCTTTTCTTTTTTTTCCCAACTTCACCTTCCTTTCACCCTTTTAGATAAAAAACAACTAAGAAGTGTTTTGCCTTGATTTCTCCTGATAACCATCTTTTGACTGTGAGGAAAACCTGATTTGGAATAAACTCAATTTTGTGGAGCCTTGTTGATATTATTATATCACTAAGTCAATCTACTCCCAAACCTTCCCTATTACTTCTGAATTTCCTGTTGTGTGAAACTAAGGTTCCCTCTTCTTAACCCAGGAAGTTTGGTTTTCTGATACTTATGAACAAAAAAATTCCTAAGCATTGTAATATTAGGGCCAAATATTCATTATCAGGAAAATGGAGAATTGGTGGTGGAAAGCTACTACAACATTTACAGTCTAAGATATATTCTAAGATATACAGTCTATAAGATAAGTTGTAAAGCCTAAGTTTAAGATACAGAAAATATAGTCAGCTTTCAATTATCCAAACTAATAAAGATGAGCCGAATAGCATGTCAGCTAACTTTTCAAACCATTCAAAAATTGTTTTATTTGCTTTGGGTATTATTTAGCATTTCATGGACAACTTAAATACTTTATGTTCTTAAAACCACTCAGTGAAGATAAACTTTACTAGCAAGTGCTGATAATTTTTTGGTTTGTTTAGTCTCATTAACACAGTGTTGGAATAGGACACCATCATTGCCAACTAAGATAGAACTGCCCTACCTTTCTTTCTCTTCAGATTATTTTCTATTCCTCTAGTTAAAGCAATGGTTTGATTTCAGAGGTCTCTCATCAGAGAAATATTAGGGAAATATGAATAAACATTAGGGACAGTACTCAAATCATGATCAAATTATATAATAAATTATATTTGGTCTTAAATGTCAATAAGAACTTGAAAGCACAATTTGCCTAGGATAATTAAGAATTGATTTCAGTCTCATGTAAGAAAGTAGAGAAAAACATGCAGGGGAATGCCTCAGTGGACTTAAATTCTTCTAACCAATATAAAAGAATGGCTGACAGTATAAAAGGAAAGAGGATGTTGGGAGGTAGTTGCCATATTAAATTAGAGTTTAAATAGGCCAAGAAAGACAATCCTAGCTATAGTCAGAAAGAGACTATATTCTTTAGGAAAGGAGATTTCAAGTATAATTTGTTCAGCCATAATGTCTTAGCTCTGTGCCTAAGAAAGCTTAAATTATAAAAGTTATTTCAATGGGGCAAAAAGTTTTATGAGCAAGATAGTCAACTAGTTTTTGTTTATGGAAATTTTAGAAATACTTTTATATAGCAATTAGTGTGTATTCACAAAACTCAGTAAATTTTACCTTTGATAACATCTCAAGTCCTTCTCTTCACTTTTTGCATTGTCATTAATTCAGAATGTTTTAAACATTATTAAAAACTTGTTTGCAAAGTGTTATGAAAGCAAAGTAAAAGCCCACTCCAAAAAAGCAGCTAAGTGGCTTATGGAATGCATTTTTTCCCCTAGACTTGATTGCTAGTTCTTGATAAAGATTGAAAAGTAACCTAGAATGGGCTGTGTAATGTGAATAATACTTCTGGGTCATTAATTATTTCTTTTAGTTACAAAGATTCGCTATAGGAACAATGCCTAAAGATCTGAATGAGCCCAGAGTCAAAAATGCTGAAAGGGAACTTGGATAAAGGTGGAAAAAAGGTTCAAAAATAAAATTCAAACAATGTTGATATGATGAAACTATGGTGGCCAGGGAGGGGGTAAGGAGTGGAACAGTAGTGTTTAAAGAAAGAGACAAATGTAAAAAATACAATGAACTTACAGTTAAAGGTTAATAAAAAATTGAGATTCATAATCATGAGAAAAGTATCAAGGACAGCAAACGTAAGACTGATGTAAGCTTACAAAAATGGCAATGAAAATATAAGCAGATATTTTTGAGCTATGTTCAAATCAAAAGAACAATGAATAACCTTAATGCTTAGGACAAATGTTGTGATACTCACAGATTATGGTCACAAAGTTGAATTCCGGTTCTAAGTCCTTTCTTCTCTGTCAAGGATAGTGAGCTACAGTTGGTAGAAAAAAAACAAAAAGCAAAAAACAAAAACATGTTTCAGATGAATACTATGCTAAATAAGCAACAGTGAGACAGAATGCCATGCTAAACAACTTATGGTTATCCAAGAACAAAAGTGGGTGATGCCTGAAATATGAAAAATGGAAAGAATTTAAACACTGGAGATGAGCTCAAGGGGCATATTTTTTAAAGTAGGGAAGCTGGATACTTAAGCAGAACTTCCATATTGGTCTAGTGGTTTTGATAATTAAATAGAAGGTTTGTGAGCCTTCAGAAGTGGTGGCATTAATAGAAACCAAAATGTTTTTCAGTAAGCATATGCTATAAAAAATCGAACTTTTAAAAAAATATGCATTCAGCAAATGCTAAAGATATAATTACTTCTGATTATAGCAAGCATTTTGACAAAATCTTTGAAAATATGTAGGTGAACAAGTAAGGGGACAAAAGACGAGGGAATTAAGAGGAGCATAGCTGTTTGGATGAGAATACTCAAAGATTACTTGTTAAAGGGTGGATGACAACTGGAAGAGAAGTCTATAATTGACATAGCAGAGGCCCTATCATTTTCAACATTTCTCAATGACTTTGGGTGAGAAAAAAACAGGAGATGTGACTATCTAATTTAAGTATAATACAAAGGTGGGAGGAATAGTTAATATAATTCTTATTCAAATAGATCTCAATGGGATAATAGATCAAAACAAAGAAAGTAAAATGTAATAGAGATTCACCCATTCTTCTATTCTGTATTCATTTATTAAGCACCTTTTATATGCAAAGCACTTGGTTTGTTCCTAAAGAGGCAAAGATAAGACATGATCCTGCTTTAGAAGTGTGGAAGAGAAGACATTTTAACATTAATTACAATGAAAGATAAACCCTACTATACTATATGCCCATAACAATTCTTATGGAAGCTCAGGGTTGTGAATAAATAATGCATTGAGTGCAAAATATCTGACATAGGATTTTGGATGACTTGTAAAATAATAGGCATCCTTAGTTTAATGTTATGTGGGAAAAAGTATGTCAGTGGCATAAGGCGAGTGTCTTAAAATATAAAAGCATGAACATTGTAATGTTTAAACAAAGTAAATATGTATTGTTTTATTTGGTTCTGAGCACACCTTTCAAAAGGATCTGATTAGAAATGACAGACAAATATGCACAGAGATATAGAACCAAGAGGGGGTGGCAGCTAAATAAATTCTCTTTAGAGTTAATGAAGAAAAAACACAACAATTGAGTAAATTATAGCTACATAATTTTTTTCATGTTGCATATTTTTAAACTCTTACGTGATCTTTTAAAACATGCTAGATAAAGATGCTTGTAATGTTATCCTAAGAAATCCCTGGATTCAGACGTTGCCTTCTTTCATATCCCTTCCTTTGCTGCTGATATTTGTGTATATATGTGTATTTAAAAAAAAAGTACATCCATGACAAGGGAGCAAACTTATCATTGTTAAGCGCTAGACTTGCTGTTCCTGTCTATAAGAGATATTTGCTTGTAGGTCTTCAATAATTTTCATTAAAAATATTTTGTTAGACTTTTATTTAATTCAAGTCCTTCTTTTTAAGAGGAATTTCATTTTAAAGTTGACTTAAATCAACTGAATTAAACACTATCCTAAATTTATGAATTAGCCTTAAGTACTTAATTTCTTTTTGGAGCTCATTTTCCCCTTCAATTCTATACTAGTTTCATTGTAATGATGGTAGTGTTGAATTTCATGAAATTTGTTCCTCATAAAATTTAACACATATATTGAAGGTTGGTGACAGTGTTTCGGCTTGGTGAGGCATACATTTATTTTAATCAATGGCCAGTTAGCTCACTTAGCTACCCATATTGTTAATGAAGTGGAGGTCGTGGAGGTCATGGATTTCATCCCAGTGCAGGCCAGCAAGCTTCTCTTTGTTATGTGGCACAGGATACACCCCTCACCCCAGCCAGCTGGCTGGCAAATGTGTGCAGTTGGTGACAAGGAGAACTGGGTGAGACTATGTAGATGGATTGGTGCAAATTCGTCACCATAGCTAGGAAAATAACCCTGAGCAAATGCCTTCCTAATGGACAACACATGGTTGTTTATATTCAATTGAATTACAGATATATAGTTTGCTGTTTGTTAATCTTACTTTCAGAAAATCCCACTTTTATTTAATAGATAAAATACTTTCTTCCTTTAAAATTTATTGGTTTAAAATTTTATAACTATATTTGACAAATAATGTGCACTTTGTTCTCATATAATCTAATTAGTTTACATTTAGATTTCCATAAACGGTATGGATTTGCAGTAGGCTCATTTAGTTTTTGAGGAAGGTGATGGGCAAAAATCACATGATTTTGATGAGAGTAAATCAGTCTGTACTGAATATTAATCATGAAAAAATGTTAAATCAAGCACATAATCTTTGGCTAGTGGCATTCAGACATCTCTTACTCTGCATTTATTAGTATGATTTGGGTAAAAGAGTAAATTTAGTATTGTCTTGATATTTGGAAGTCTGTGTGCTTTAACCAGCACAAATTAAATTAAGCTATTCAGTACTTTCAAAAAGGGTGCTTAATAATGTTGAGTAAGCTTTCAAACTCAGTTTACTTCAGCATATGCTAATTACTCTCATCTAATCATGCTGTATCATGTAATTAATATGAACATAGCTAGGATTCACTTTTAATTTTTTTTCTTTTTGCAGACTCTTAGACAAAATAGCATGACTTATATTTAAAAATTACAATTTAACAAACCAAGTCTAACTTTTCCTTTAAAGGCAGTATATATTTCAGTTTGTCATCTCAGACATTTTGTAAGAGGTGACCTTAGCATAATTGTATACATTCTATTTTTTTAAATGCTGAGTTTGATTTAATACAGCAGAACCCTATTTTATTCTTTCAGCCTAATTAATCAGCATATATCAAAACCTTAGTTTTAGAATAAGTAGATTATAGAATGTACACAGAGAATTCCTGTTAGACTCAAAATGGCTCTTTTGAACCTATTCATGATTTTGATTCTAATACTAAATGTAAAATATAAATGTTAAAACTGAGCACCACTATTGGTAAGGAAATCTGAGAGCCATGGAATATATAATTATCTGGGCTTTTCAGAAATTAAAGCTCTGCAGTTTTCATTGTATGATTTTTTTACACTGAAATGACTTCTGTGTTTAGAGAAGATTAATCTCTTTAGATCTCTAAAAGACCATTTCAAACCACTAGAGTCTAACAATAGCCCTTTACTAAGATTTTTTAAGTTGTTTCAATCTAATTTTTACAATAAACTGTGGCGCAGTACGATTGATAGCAACCGTAATGTAGATTTCTTTTTATGAAAAAATGTAGTTTCAGAATTTCCCTATAGAAAGTGCTTAGTACTTCTCATACTTGATTGCCAAAAAAACAATTACATCTCTACCATCTATGGCTATTTGACATGCCATACAAAAAAGAAATATATTTAATTCTTCAGATTTTTTTGTGGAAACTTAGGAATGTGCTACTAATCATTTCCCCCAAAATTCCTATTTTTATGAGTTTTGGGGTTTTTACCGTCAGTATGAATTTTTCTGTCAGAGTACAGACCCATTGACAATACAATCATTTAAAAATCTAATTACTTTCACCTGTTTAAATAAGTGAACTCCATGCAGAAAAACGTGTGCAGACTACCACAGGAAGCAGTAGAACTCATGCTCAAGGAAGGCTTTCCAGGCATCTTTTTTGTCCCTTGAGGTGTTTATGTCCTTTGAGAAGTCTGTGTGGATTTGGTCTATAGCCACAGATTTGTGACTAAATGGCTGTGTGATCGAAACTACTAAACAGTAATAAGGCTTGGTAATAGCTGTTTGAGGTTATTTCAAAAGCTTCATATCTAATCTCATTAGAATACCTATGGGTACAAATGTTATTTTCCCCTTGTGTGTTCTAATCATAGAGTAAACGATGGATCATAATTAATGCACTAAAAAGGCACATTTTGCCTTTGTTTTTATGTTACAATACACAGTTCACGTAAACCTAACAAATATGAATATTTTCTTTTCCTTTTTTGTTTTGTTTTGTGTTTGTTTTAACTAAAAAGCCAGTACTCATATATATAGAAAGAGGAGTTGGATGTTTGTCAATAAACTCATCTGGCTTTAAATAAATCAAAACAAAAAGAATAATTTGCTACTAGTCTTCCAACATGTTTGAAGAACAGCCTGCTGTTTGGGGAGGTGAGTGGAATATGTTTTATGAAATTTCTCAGCAGCAATAGTTATACATTTTCAGTTGATAGACTTTTAAGCTGTCACATCCTTATTTTCTTTTCCTGGCAACAATTATTGCATCATGAAATGAAGATAATTATAATTTTGTTTTGTCTTAGATGCCATTTATAAGATATGTTATACGTATTATTACCTCTCATCACTATTAGACTTTTTTTTTCTAAAATTATATTTCAGTTGATTCAGGGGAATTATACTACAGCCTTTAAAGCATTATTAGCATTTTGTTAAGATTGGATATTAAGGAATTCAAATGACCAGGTCTGTTATTAGAATAAGGAAACAAATTCCACTTAACTATTTAGATTTTTTTGCCTTCTCCTTCAATATGTAGAGCATGTGCATTGTGCAGAGGCTAACTTACAATATGTATGTTTCTGTGTGTTTTATATAATATCTAACAAATACTTTAATAGTATTAAATAGTACAGTTCAGAAGTTTTAAACTCATATGAGTTAAAAAGCTCATAGGAGCTTTTCAGAGTCAAACAAAGCCCATGAATGAATAAAGTGGTCTCTTAGCAATAAATAAGGAAGTGATGGAGACTGTGACAAAACTGGAGATGGCAGTCCCCTTTTGAAGGTATTCAAATTCAGTTGCTTTAAAACATTTTGTCTACTGTCACTATCAAGGAAAACACTTCTGCTGACTAAATGTGGTCTTTGAAAATACCAGTTTGAGACTTCCAAAAAGCCCAGCTTTTCAGTATATCCTCACCCAGGGATTGTCTACCATGGAGGAATCATTGTTGTGGCCCCTCCAATCAGACCCCCTTATTCTCAAGAGTATATCATAATTTGCCAGTATAAGTAATAATAAGTTACTAAATATCATCATCTGACTAATAGAACTATGAACTACAAAACAAACAACTAGAACCTTAAAATTAGTGCTTTGGAATACATTCAGTACAACTCTGAACTATCATAGGTACTTGATTTTTGGAAGCCATTTCCCCTGAACCCTAAGTCTAAAAGTTTCAATCTGTTCTCATCTACTGTTCCCTGATCCTCATTGATGTACTAACACTACTTTCTAATTGATATTTCGTTTCTCTAAAGCTAGCATTTCCAGTCTAAAGTCGTGGAACATCACCTCCTTCTAGTGAAGATAAGAGTATATCTGTAAGAGAGATGACTAAATAAGCACTATAATTCATTTTCCATTTTTATAAATACACGTGTATATACATAATTCTATATGTAACCAGTTAAAATTAAGGTTTTTTGGTATTGGCTTTGTACACTGAAAAATATCTGGTTCTCATAAAAATTAAGTACTACACAGAAATTAGTGAAATAGACACATTTGTTTGGGCCCAAGGCAAATACTACTCCAGTTTTCCTAACTGTTAGTAAAACAGCTGTCTGATTTTAAAAGCTGAAAGGCATGCTAATTATTTTCTTTAATTTTTAATTATTATTTTTAGTTGCAATGGTACCCTCACTAGTCTGAAGTGACTTTTGAAACCTGTTTTATTTACAGAATAAATTTCTAATTGAACTAAATTATACACATTGGTTAGTACTCCATGGTATATAGAATTTGAAAACAAAATTGGGTATTTCATACAGAACATTGAGAACACTAACTGGTATCACTATTTTAAAATCCCCTGATTGATATATATGGCTTTTTTAAAAAAACCAAACAGAACAAATGTCACCATACTTAAAATTCATTATCTGAAATAGAGTGCCATTTTGAAACTATAGATCATTTTAGGTAGTTTATAATCACTGTGCCAAATGGCCCTATAACCATTTAACATTTAATATGTCAAACCCTCCAGTTTTGGAGGCTGCGTTGATCATAGTCAGAGCCTTAACCATGGGTGTTATCCTGAAGAAGGGTGGCAGAACAAGTGGTTGTAAAATACCTCTGCCATTTTTGAAAATTATTACTCTCTAGGGGACCCATAAAGACGACTGAGCAGATTGGCAAGAAGGTCTAACCTCATGGCTAGAGAACATTCCAGACACATACACAGTTTCAACAGTGTTGCATGCTGCTAACTGCTGTTGTCTGGGTAGCACTGTTCCAAGTGCTTAAATTATGTGCTTGTAAACAGAACTCTTGTGACATAGTTGCTGACTAGACCACTTTGACCAACATTTTTACCTATAGCTTTGACAAGAAGGTATAATTGACAACAATATTACCTATAGCTGTGTTACAAACCATCCAAAAACATAGTAGCTTAAAACAACAATCATTTATTTTGCTTACAAATTTGTCATTTTCACACGGCTTAGCTGGAAAACTTGTCTCTGCTTTGCATGGCTTCAGCTGGGGCTGCTAGACCGAAGTTGGAGGATCGAGCCACTTAAGACAGTGCACTTCCAAGGCTGGCATGTTGTTTCTGGCTGCTAGCTGGAAACTCAGCCAGGGTTGTCTACTGAGTGCCTTGATTTCTCTCAAGTTGGACTGTTTGGATTCTTCACAATATAGCAATAAGTGTTATAAGAGGATTCTAAGCAGGAAACTGCAAAGCTCTTTTCTAGTGTAGGAAGTCCAAGAACATCACTTCCGTCACATTCTATTTGTCTAGCAAGTAAGTAAAGTCAGCCCAATTTTAAGAGGAGGGGAACTAGCCTCCATCTTACAACAGGACAAGTAGTCAAGAATTTGTAGGTATCTTTACAACAGCAGAGGGGGTGAATTTTGGTACTGATGTTCCTTGTCCAGGTGGAGTAGTCATTCATATGCCAAGAGTTCTGTTCAATCTACTTGGAGTATACCTCCTGATCGTAAATGCTGAATCCATGTTTACCATCACCTGCACCTTCTTGTTTCTCTGGTTCTGCTCAGAGTAAGCTGATCTTGCTTAAACACTGCTAAAAAAAAAAGGATATGAAGTCCCATAATAAAGGCCTTGATGCTTCATATCGTGTCTCTCTCCTTTAAAACAGTCATGATATACAAAAGTTAACCAGTAAACAATTCTGATAGCTACATTATATCAAAAACATCAGAATATAGATTTTGTCCATATGATTCTGATATGTAGAAATTTTGAATCCCTTTGTTTAAGCCCCTATCAACAGATTTTTAAGGCATTGTATAACATATTAAATTTTATTATACTGATTATATATTCATTTTATTATATGCTTAATCGAGTTCCTTCTATATATAATTTGTCATTAATCTTTATGCTTATCAAAAAATCATATTCAACGGATTATATTTCCCTGCTCATTTCTATTATAAACTCAAAGGTGTATCTTAATGGAAAACATTTTGATTAGATGTTGTAAGTATTATCACTCATAGAAATACATTATGAGAGTAAAGAAAAAGTGTTCAATGTTCTGATTTAACCCAAATACATAAAATCTATTAATGATATTGAGTAATGCTTGTTCAAAATTTAAAGTATTGGGAAAAAAATATGTTGCCCTTTGTATGGCCCCTGCTTTATGCTTTAGAAATTTGATTAAGTTCTATGTCAGTCTCAGATGGTTTTTTCCCCCTTACTTTCAACTTTTCTTTATTACCTTGTACTCTTTCTAATATGTGAATTTACTGACCCTTCAGATGTCTTCTCATTAGATGTACTTGCATGGTTCATTAAAGTGTCCTTAGACAAATAGACATCACACAGAATACCAAGGTATGCAATGTCCAATCCCTCTCTGAAGCAAAAGAGTCGTGCCCCAATGGCTTTAGGGGCATCCACTTGTCATGCAGTTGGCTTTTGGCCAACAGACATGAACAAATTAGTATAGTGTACCTGTGTTGGCTCTGTTCCTAGCCTCGTTTATGTAATTGATGTCTGGTGGCCTCATTATGGATCATTAGCTTATCAACATGATGTCTGAGCCTGGCAAAGTGCTGCTTGTTGTTAGGCATTACCAATTTACCAGAACATGTAAAGCAAGAGAACATGGACATTCTTACTAGGTCTCTGGCAAAATCAAATGGTAACACAGGAAGCTCAAATTCAGAAACTCTTAGAGTTCCTGTGTGTTTGAAATGATTGAGTTTGGATTTGTGTTAGATTATTTTTTGATAATTACAGAAGATATCTTTGTCAATAACAATGCTAAATTTGTGGTTCTTTTAAATATTTTTGTTTTTTTACATTCATTATTTTGTTTGTACTTGTGACCAGTAGTAGTAATTAAGTTTTAAATAGAACAGGTTTCTCAGTCAAAGAAATAATATAATTGGAGATAGTTTTGATTTTAATGAATGAAAGAATTTAGTGTAAAACTGACTATTCTCAAAATAACAGAGAAACCCTGTTTTATTTTGGAGCCAAACCAAAGTGCATTGTTTTGCTTATCTGGAGTTGTTCTCATAAAATGTTCATTAGATTACTGGTTATTTATGATGTAAAATGAAAGAATGTTAAATAAGCATATTCCTTATCTCAAATAGGAATACTCCTTTTTATTTATTTATTTATTTTTTTGAGATAAGGCCTCTTTTGGCAGTGGTACTGTCAGGGCTAACTACAGCCTGGTCCTCCTGGGCTCAGCCAGTCCTCCTGCCTCAGCCTCCTAAGTAGCTGGAACTAGAGGCACATGCCACCATGTCCAGCTAATTTTTTTTTTTTTTTTGTAGTAGCAATAAGGTTTTGCCATGTTGCACAGGCTGGACTCAAACTCCTGGGCTCAAGTGATCCTCCTGCCTCAGCCTCCCAAAGTACTGGTATTACAGGCATGAGCCACCGCACCTGGCCAACAACTTAATACTTCTGTTTTAAGGTAGATGATACATCTTGGAGATGCTATTGTAACATTTGCTACAATAAATATAGAATAAAAATAAATAAAAAATCTTTTAAAAAGATAAATATATGTAGGGACATTGTATTTGATGTAAAAGATATATGCTTTTCAGAGTGGAAAAATAAACCCTGCATTTGGATTATATTTGTTATTACCCACAATCTGCCACTTAATTTAATAGTCAAAGATGTTCGATTAATGAAATGAAAATAATTTTAAAATTATAATATGTTTAGTGCCCCTTTCTGCCCTCCCCACCCCTGAGAGTATCTTTTAATTTTCTAACTGCCCCCAGTGTCTGGTATATAGTAACTACTAAATAAATGTTTAAACAGTAAATGAATGAATGAAAATTACATTTACCTTTTTTATGTAATGTACTTCTATTTTTATACAGTTACCAAAGTGAGAATGTTTTATTGTGGACCGTTAGGCAATACTGTCAAAAGAAATGAAGAAAATAGAAATCAATAGTAATATTTACTGTTAACATATTGGCTTATCTACAGATATGTTCTATATATCCATATGAATATATGTTTTTAAAAGAATATAACAGTATTCACATATTGAGTATTTACTATGTATCATATATTCTACCGAGTGCTTTATTATCTCCTTTCATCTTCACATCACCAATTTAGATGAACTATGAGAAACAAATACTCAAAAAAGACTTGGATAGCTTGGCCATGGTATTATAGCTAGTAAACAGTAGATAAAGGATATTATTCCCAGGAAAACTTAACTATAACAAAAATATCTGTCCTGTTCTCCAATCTTATGAACACCAGGTACTTCCTAAATCCTTATATTCTATTTAAAAAAAACTGTTTGAAAGCATTAACCTAAGAATGAAGGCAATTCCCCCAAAGATCATATAATGGGAACAGTTTTTTCATAGATAGGGTAACTATATAAATTTTCATCCAATCTTGTATGCTTGGGAATGTGAAAAGGGGTGCTATTAATAATTAGGCTAGGACAACATGAGTAAACACAGCATTTCCTGGGAAAACTGGGGAAAGAACGGGGAAGAGGATGTGCATTTTAAAATAAAAACTATTTTAAAAGCACTGACTGAGTACTCTATGTGAGTTTTCTCATTTTACTGCTCACAACTGCAGGTATTTGTACATCAATTTCCCCAAAAGAATACAGATTCTCTGAGAAGATAAGTGCTCAAGCAACTTCTCACAAAATTAGTAACTGATGAGCCAGGGATTTACAGCCAATTCTGTCCAATTCCAAAGCTCCTATTCATTTCACTGTTAGGGTTTTTTTTTGGTTTTTTTGTTTTGTTTTGTTTTGTTTCCCCACGTGTAAATAAAACAAGGTTAATCTGTTCTCGACAAGTAAATAATTGCCATACATTGTAAAGGAACTGACTGGAAATGTAGATTGCGTAACATGTTTAAGTTAACCATGAAGATTTTGAACCTTGTTTTCGTACTCTTTCCTTTAAGCTCCTATTATAAATGAATTTTACATTTTTAATTGTCATTTAAGGATTTATCTGTTCATTTGTGTAATCATACTGGCACGAAATCATAGAATAAAACTTCTTTTTTTTTTTGAGTTGGAGTCTTGCTGTGTTTCCCAGGCTGAAGTGCAGTGCGGCGATCTTGGCTCACTGCAAGCTCCACCTCCCATGTTCACGCCATTCTCCTGCCTCAGCCTCCTGAGTAGCTGGGACTACAGGCGCCAGCCACCACGCCAGGCTAATTTTTTTGTTTGTTTGTTTGTTTTGTTTTGTTTTGTATTTTTAGTAGAGATGGGATTTCACCGTGTTAGCCAGGATGGTCTCGATCTCCTGACCTCGTGATCCGCCTGCCTCGGCCTCCCAAAGTGCTGGGATTACAGGCGTGAGCAGTCGCGCCCAGCCGAATCAAACTATTTTTAAGTTGCAAAAAAATCTGAGCTACAGAGCAGCTGTGGATTTACGTACTGTGTTGGATTACCAGTACGTAATCCAACACAGCCTGTCCACAAATGCTGACTGTGACAAAGTGGCCTATGAGAAAAACAAAACAAAAAACAACTCCAAAGGGAATGCTCTTTCTGTCATTGCCTCCCTTCCTTTGAAAAATATAACGTTGGCAGCCCAGCCTTGTTCCCAGTTCTTTCTTATTCTACTTTTCAATTTAAGGAAATTTACAAGTTGTTGAATTCAGAAGTCTGGTATGCTCCAATCAATATCAACCTTTCCTTGTAGAATAAAAAAGTGGACCATCCAGATACCCAATTTGTCAGAATACCAAAAAGAAGAAGAAACTGTAGATATCGTTTTCATGTCTACTATATGTGAGGCTCTGGGCTAGGTACTTTCCATACATTTCTCATTTATGCTTTATAGTATCTGTGTAAGATAAGCAGTGTTCTATCCACAGCATTTGAGAAAACTGAAGTTTAGAGAAGTTTAAGTAGCTTGCCCAAGAGAGAATGGGTTATAAGTAGCAGAGCCTGAGGTTCAAACTCTGAATTTCAAAAGTATGCTTTTTTTTCCTTTTGCCTCATAGAAGCTGTTATCTCCTCTGATCTTCCAATATTCCAGTTTCTCCATTTCACTTACATCTCCTTGTACACATTTTAGATTTAGGCAACGATTATATTAGTGATATAACTGTCTTTTAATTTGACGTTTCATAGCCTTCAACAGAATCATTAGTCTAGAAAATATAATTATACATATTATATAATCCTTTCATATGCCAGGCAAATTTTGATTACAACAAACACTGTTAAGTAATATTTGTAGAACAAACAATTTCTGTATCTTAGGTGATGGTTTATTCAAGCTTCATATGTCACAGAAAGTTCTAATAAAATAAAAGTAGTGAGACAGTCTCCTGGAATTTGTTGTGATTTTTAATTTGTTGACATATTTTAAGGTTTGATAAGGTAAAACTTTATGAATATTTCCTCAGTTTATTCAAAATAATGTGAGATTTCAGTAAATTACCACTTTCTAGGTATTCATTTTTTATATTCCTTAAACAAATCAAAAAAATACCTTAATATTTATTGTATGTTAACAATGTGCAAAATGGTCAACTAGAGACTGGAAGGACCCAAAGTGTGTGATAAGGTTTGTGCTTTGAGGAAGCTTATAATTAAATGGGAAGGAAAAAGGCATACATGGAGCTTGTATCCAGCGGAATTAAGGAATTAAGGAATTCCCGTGGCCATCTCTTTTGGGACTCATTATTTCCTACTTTGACTTATAATCATTTGTGCACTATTGTTTATCCCCCCCTACTGTACTGTAACTTCTTGGTTGAAGGGATCTTGACTTATCCTTATTTGTAATTCCCTCTAGCACCTGAGGCAATGTAGCGCACAGTGAGTGGCCTGTAAATAGCTTTTGAATGAATAATATATAAAACACTAACAATACAAGACTCTATATCTGATCTGCCAAATGCATAGAACTGGCAGCAAGTGCTGTAGAAGTTCATTGGGATTGGGTTGCTCAGGAGAGTTTCCATAGAGGAAGGAGTGTCTTCAATTGAAAACGTGAAAAATGAACTGGAGAAACAAGGGTGGGGGCGGTCCAGGCAAGTGGAAGAGTATGCAGGGTGTTTATAAGGTGGAAACACAGAAAAGTTATATTTTATGCTTTAGTGGACACTGCAGATTTCTTGGAATGGTACGATTTTTGTAAAAAAAAAAATTGATAAGGGTTGAAACTAGAGTATAGGTTTTAAATAGCCAAATAGGAAGCCTATAATGTCAGTTTATACAGCATCATTAATAAACATCAAAACAATCCTTACTATAAAACAGATACTCCATTAGTCATTTGGAACAAAATGTATGTTTTCCTACAAATAAAATGTATCTCTTCCTCTTCTTTCCCTCCTTCCTCCTCGAGAGTATAATGGTGTGGTTTAGAGACTGGGCTCTGGAGCTAGATTTAAAGTCCTTGTTTAGCCACTTACTGTGGAAACATGGTTAAGTTAATGCAGTAGCTAGAATATAGGCTCTGCTTGTGTCCCAGAGACACAAAATAACAGTGGCTTATCACAATATAGAAGTTTCTTTTTATAAAAGTCCAGCTGGTATGGTGGTTGTTTTAGTTATATTGCTATGTGACAAATTGCCTCAAAACTTTGAGGCTTAAAAAGAGCCATTGTTTCTGAGGGTCCAGTATTTGGGCAGACCTCAGTAAGGAAGGCTCATCTTCACTTTACATCATATTAACTTAGATAAGAGATCCTAAGTCTTATGTCTAGATGCTGACTACAGCTGCAGCCACTTGGTTCTCCCAAGCATCGCCTCTCTCTCTCTCCCAATGTGATCTCTCATCTTTAGATAGTCTAGCATGAGCTTGTTGACCGGGCTGCTGGCTTCCAGGAGAGTGAAAACAGACTGGAAAATCTGGGCTTAAAAGACTCAAGTGTCATTTCTGCTGCATTGTATTGACTAAAACAAGATATGGGGTCTGCCCAGATTTAAATGGAAGGGAGAGATCTCTTGATGATAGGAATAACAAAGTTACATTGCAAAAGGACTTGCAAGATGGGAAGAATTTTTGGGGCCATCTTTGGACATAATCTGTCAAAGTGGATCTGTTCTAAGAGGTCTTCAGTTGGCCTAGATTGCTTTTTCATGTTGCTCTGCCATCTCTAGGGTGTTGCCCTTCTCTGTATAATCCAAGATGACTCACCATCATGTTTCAGACAAGAGAAAGGAGAAAAATGGAAGAGGTAGGTACTTTCTTTTAATAGCACAACCAGGATTCAGATCTTAGTCACAAGGCTTATCTGGTTAGAAGTCCAAAAGAAAATAAACTCTTAATTCTGGATAGCAATAAGGCCATCTGAAAATTAAGGGTTCTATTTCCATGAGAACAAATTAGAGAATGGATTTTGGAAGGCAGTTTATAATCTCAGCGACAATTATTTAACTTCTTTTATTCTCAGTTTCCTTATGTGTTAAATAGAAATGATGATTTCACCTACTCCACAGAGCTGTTGTGGGGATTAAATGAACAATATGTGAGAGAATTCAGCACAGTGTCTGGGGAATAATTGTTGGCTTCACCATTCTTTCCGTAAAAAGTCACAGAATTTCTGCCACGTTTCAGGCACTGTTCTGGACTCTAAATGTATAAAGCTGTGTTAGATTTTTTTCACACCTGGAGAGCTAAACCTTTCCTGAGAGAGGTAGACTTCTAAATATATAGCAGCATAAGTTATGTGCCTATGGTCCCAGCTACTAGGGAGGGTAACTGAGGAGATGGACAGGATGCGTGCAGGAAAATCAGAGATTCCATTCGGAACTAACACTCAGGGCTGACCATGAAAATGGAGTTAGAGATAACCTATTGCCTTTGCAAGAAAGAGTGTGGCATATTTAGAAAACTGTCAAAAGGCTGATTATGACTGAATCATAGAAGCTGGATAGATTGTGAGAAAGGAGCTGGAAGAGGTGAGGTGGAGTCAAATTATGAAAGGCCTCTTTTTTATAGACGTGAGTTTAGATATAACACAAGAGAACCTCTCCAAAGTCTCAGTTTCCTCTGAATATTGGGAGTATTGTTGCATAGGATCATTGTGAGGATTAACTGATAAAGTGCAGGACAGATGTCAGACATATATTAAGCTCCCAATAATCATCACCTATTGGTAATATTATTAAATAATATTATTATTAATGGAGGAAGGAAAACCAAATCAGAGATATTTCTATGATGAATTTGGTTAATGTTTAAAAGAGTGATGGATGGTGACATTACTGTGCGATTTCTAGCCGTTGATGAGATGTAGAATTCAAGGTGGATTGGAAAACAAATATAGAATGAGAAATCCAAAGTTTGAGATACTTTCCAAATACTCATTGAACACTAGGTATTAAGAAGTCAGTTAAAAATATTTTTATTGGGTAAAAAGGAAAAGTTAAGAGTTGGAAGTAAACAATTAGCAGACATTGCCAACTCCCACTTAGAAGAGAAAGTGAAGTCATTCTGGGGAGGTAATAGAAAAGAAGTACAAGAAAAATGTGAAAAAGGCAATTGCTATCTCCATCTACCCATTGGGGGCATAGGACCATGTTCATAACATGAGAAGAACTATTTAGCATTAGTGCTATTAGAAATGTGCAGTCATATTCCCTGTTGGATATGCCAAGAACATATCTCCATTATACAACCAGAGCATGTCTTTTCCCTCTTACTGGACAGTGGACTGGAGACTCCTAGAGCTCCAGGTTTCTGGCGAAGGATGGGACAGTCATAGGATCTTAGGTATGATAATGGTCTCCTGGAAGCTTTCTTCACATATTTTCTTGTACCCTTTTGAAACATTCTCTTCACTGAAGTCTTACTGATTATTTTAAGAAACAAAAATTAGTTTCTGGATTAAAATTGTTTAGTGGATTCACATTGTTTTGGAAGAGGAAAGCTCGTGTCTGCCTCACTGTCATTTACTCACTTTATTCCACACATCAACCACAAGAGGACATCTCTAAATCAAAGACTGTGCAATGCTCCTTTTGTCCAAGTTCTTGCTTTGCCTGGCATGCTCGCTCCCCTCTCTCCCTCTCCTTAAGTAGTCTCTACAACTCATCTTTCTCAGTTTATCCTAAAGCCTCCTTCCTCAAGGAAGCCCTCCCTGACCTTCCATAGATGCTCCTATGGAATCTTTGTAGCATTCATCCTAATTGTGAATATAATTTTGATTGTGCAAATAATTGTTTGATAACTCTTCACTAAACTAAACTTTAAGCTCCTCTGTGGCAGAGAGGTCTGACTTTTCTACTAATGGGGATTATATCACTTCTGTCTCCACCTCCAACACTGAACAGAATTGAGAAGCAGACATAGGAGTTAGATGGAGTATCAACATAATAGCTATACATTGCTAAATCTTGACTAATTCAGCCTCATCTCTGCCCTGAATTAGGCTTCCTGCTAATTCTTTCGGAATTGGACTTACTTGCTGAAATATTAGAAGAAACAAGGAGCTACCAGGTGCTGTGACTCATGCCTGTAATCTCAGCATTTTGGGAGGCTGAGAAAGAAGGATTTCTTGAGCCTGGGAGTTTGAAACCAGTCTGGGCAACATAAGGAGACCTTCTCTCTACAAAAAATCTAAAAATTAACTAGGCATGGTAGTACATTCCTGTGATCCCAGCTACTAGGGAGGCTGAGGCAGGAGGATCTCTTGAGTCCAAGAGTTTAAGGCTGCAGTGAGCCATACTCGAACCACTGCACTCCAGCCTGTGAGACAATGTAAGACCCTGTCTCCAAAAAAAAAAAAAAAAAGGAAAAGAAAAAGAAAGAAAGTGAAAAAGAAAATAGGGACAATCACAGCCTTCTGCTGTCTGGTACCTACAAGAATTCTACATTTAGAGTAGGTGCTTATTAAGGCACTGCTTGTTGCTTTTTGCTTTTTTTTTTTTTCCAAATTGATGTCTTCTTTAGATAAGCGTTTCTAACATCCATGATCAATTGTAAAATAATTACATCTTACTTTTTCTCCTTTATGCTACTTTCCCTGAAAACAGCACACAGTATAATATACAGCCCTTTAAGGTTTCTTAAAGGTTTCATTGAAAACAACAAAAGGATCAAATATAGGAGGTAAAATGACTCTCTTCTATGTCTCCCTGTTATAGGCTTCTTATTTATTTATTTTTATTTTTATTTTTTGCAGTTGCAAGATTTAATAGAGTGAAATAGAGTGAAAACAGAGCTCCCATACAAATGGAGGGGACCCAAAGGGGGTTGCTGTTGCTGGCTCGAATGCCTGGGTTTATGTCCCGATCCTTGTCCCTCCCACTGTGCTCTCAGGCAATAGATGATTGGCTATTTCTTTACCTCCTGTTTTTGCATAATTAGCATTTTAGTGAGCTCTCTGATTGGTTGGGTGGGAGCTAAGTTGCGAGCACCATGTTTAAAGGTGGATGCGGTCACCTTCCCAGCTAGGCTTAGGGATTCTTAGTCAGCCTAGGAAATCCAGCTAGTCCTGTCTCTCAGTACCCCCTCTCAACAGGAAAACCCAAGTGTTGTTGGGGAGGTTGGCCGATGACCACTCTAACTGCTTCCTGCTGAATTGGGGCATAGTAGGGGTTGTGCAGTTGAGATTTTCTCGGGAGGGGTGCCTTCGACATCATTAACATCAGAGAATGGGCTAGCAGGCCATTTCAGGGGTCCACGGTGGATCTTAGTCATGGACTGCATCTGGGGCTCCATTTGAAAAACCATTTGTAGTTTTACAGTTTCAATTCTGGAAGAGACAAACTTAACAAGGAGGTTAAAGATACAGGGATTGAAATGTATGGCCTGCAGTGTAGGGGATTATTTCTTTGGCACACCTCACAGGCCCTGACTATCTGCTTGATAGTTTTGAAAAGGCCTGGTCCAGTAAATAATAATTTGGCCATCTGATGGGTGCTATCAATGCCTAAGTGGAAGGTTTGATGAAGGGTTTTAAGTAATTTTTATTGGTTAGCTGCAGGCAAAAATATTTTTCCTTCTTCGGTGGCTAGCCATCTGAAGGGGAGGGAAGTATGTCCTCATGAGGTTCCCTATTCTATTTTTCCTGCTGAGTACTAGGGCTTGGTTTCCCAGAGGGGGTTACCCCATATTAGGGGTCCTTCTATAAGCATTTCTAATGGAGGGTCCTGCCTTGCGGGTCATTTGGCTTCAATACCCGCTTGGCGGTTCCCTTCTATTTCCCTTTCCTTTCCTTTCTGATGACCCCGGCAGTGTAAGACTGCCACCTCTTTAGGTTTCTGTACAGTGAATAATAATTTCCTAATGGCTTCCTAATGTTTGATAGGTGTTCCCTCAGAAGTTAGGAATTCCCTTTCTCTCCACATTGCTGCGTGGGCATGGAGGACTAGGTAAGCATACTTAGAGTCTGTATATATATTTACCCATTTTCCTTCTCCTAATTCTAGTGCCCGAGTGAGGGCTATTAGTTTTGCCAGCTGAGCACTAGTTCCTGGAGTGAGGGGATTACTTTCAAGTATTCCATTATCACTGACCACTGCATACCCCACTTTTCGAAGTCCTTTTTCTACAAAGGAACTTCCATTAGTATACAAGTTGAGGTCGGGATCAGTCAAGGGAACCTCTAAAAGGTCCCTTCAAGTGGCGTAGTTTTGAGCAATTACTTGTTGACAGTTCCGTTCTATCTTTTCTTCATTGTCTGGAAGAAATGTGGCTGGTTTAAGAGTTGCACAAGTGTGCAGTCGCAGCACTGGCCCTTCAAGTAATAAAGCCTGATATTTAAGTAAACAGTTGTCTGACAGCCACAAGTCTCCTTTAGCAGTGAGTATGTCATTCACATCATGAGATGTCCACACAGTAAGATCTCTTCCCTGTATTATTTTAACTGCTTCAGATACTAAGACTGCTACTGCCACCAGTACCTGTAAACAATGAGGCCAACCCTTTGCCACTACATCTATTTTCTTACTCAGGTATGCCATGGGTTGCAAGCTTGTCCTTTGGACCTGTGTAAGGACTCCTAGAGCTATTCCTGTTTTTTCTGTGACATATAAAGAAAAGTCTTGCCCCATTGGCAAGCTTAACACTGGGACTTGGGTTAGGGCCTTCTTTAGGGCCTGGAAAGCCACTTCTGCTTCAGGTGTCCATCTTACTAAATGGGTATTGGCTTTCTGAGTTTCTTTAATTAGTGTATATAATGGTCTGGCTATTTTGTCATACCTGTGAATCCATATTCGGCAGAAACCTGTTATGCCAAGGAACCTTCTTAGTTGCTTTAGGGTTTTGGGATGAGGATAAGCCAGTATAGGTTAGATACATTCCTCACTGAGGGCCCTGGTGCCTTTGAATAATTTTAGCGC
This sequence comes from Homo sapiens, assembly GCF_000001405.40. Lineage (NCBI taxonomy): Eukaryota > Metazoa > Chordata > Mammalia > Primates > Hominidae > Homo > Homo sapiens. Next base: position 114,381,254 of record NC_000007.14, read on the forward strand.
TAAGTATTTAACCTGGTATGAGCAGAGCTGAGCCTTTGGTTTGGAAACCTGTAGCCACAGGTAGTGAAGAAACTTAAGAGCACTTGGGTGGCTTGATGGCACAAGATTTCTGAATAGGTGGCTAAAATTAAATCATCCCTGTACCGAAGGACAAGAGTGTCCAGGTATGAGAATTGACTCAAGTCTTGGGCTAATGCCTGGCCAAATAGATGGGGGCTATCCTTGAACCCTTGGGGTAAAACAGTCCAGGTGAGTTGAGACGTTGGGTTCGAAGGATCTTTAAAGGCAAACAAGAATTGAGAGTCAGGATGTACAGGGATGCAGAAAAATGCATCCTTAAGGTCCAGGACTGTAAACCACTCTGCTTCCTCTGGTATTTGGGAAAGCAGAGTATAAAGGTTAGGTACAGCTGGGTATAGAGGAACAACAGCCTCACTGATAATCCTGAGATCTTGCACTAACCTCCACTGCCCGTTGGGTTTCTGTACTCCTAAAATTGGAGTCTTGCAAGGGCTATTGCATGGTTTTACTAGGCCTTGGGCTTTTAGGTCCTTTACAATCTTTTGGAGTTCTTGTTGGGTCTCGGGTCTGAGGGGGTACTGCCTTTGGTAGGGAAAGGAGGCGGAATCCTTTAGTTTAACTTGAACAGGACGGGCATTCTTTGCTTGTCCATATTGTCCTTCTGTTGCCCAGACTTCAGGATTAATTCCTTCCTCAAGCAGGGGACAACAAACAGTTGTTCCTTCTCCTATATTCACATGTATAATGGCCCCTGCTTTTGCTAGAATGTCTCTCCCTAACAAGAGAGTGGGGCTTTCAGGCATAATTAGAAAAGCATGTGGAAGAGTAAAGTTCCCCAGTCACAACTTAGTGGCTGGGAGAAGTATCTAGTGACTGGCTGTCCTAGGACCCTTCGGACAGTGACAGATCTGGAGGACAGTTGTCCAGGACAGGAAAGTAAGACTGAGAAGGCCGCGCCAGTGTCCAGGAGACAGTTACCCTTCTGACCCTCAATGGTCAAGCATACCTGGGGCTCTGTGAGGGTGATGGCATGGGCTGGCGCTTGCCCCGGGCACCCTCAGTCCTGCTGCTGGATCATCTGGTTAGTGGCTTCTGACTCAGAGGACCTTCATCCCCTGGGGCAGTGGGCCTTCCAGTGATTCCCTTGACATAAGGGGCATGGACGAGGTGGTGGCTTATTTCTATTGGACAATCTTTTTTAAAGTGTCCTTGTAGACCACACTGGAAGCAAGCCCTATTAGGCATTCGATTTGCCCAGCTTTTCCCTGTTCCAGAACCTCCAAAGTCTGCTTGCCTGAGGGCCATGACTAAAGCAGTGGCCTTTTTTTTTTATCCCGTTTGTCCCATTTTGCCTGCTCCTCCTGATCTCTATTATAAAAAACCGAAGTTGCCAAGTTCAATAGGGTTTCTAAGTTTTGCTCTGGGCCTAAGGCAGACTTTTGAAGTTTTTTTCTAATGTCTGCAGCTAACTGAGTGATAAACTTATCCTTTAAGTTAGTTGGCCTTCAGTAGAGTCAGGTGACAGGGAGGTGTGCTTCCTTAATGCCTCCCTTAGTCTCTCCAGAAAGGCAGTAGAATTTTCTTCCTTTCCCTGTGTTATGTGGACATCATTGAATAATTCATAGCCTTCTTCCTAGTTTTCCTCAGTCCTTCTAGCACGCAAGTTAGCAAATGTCTGCGGCACCAATCTCCATGTTCTGATTCTGTGTCCTAATGAGGGTCTACACTGGGAACTGCCTGCTGGCCTGTGGGGAATCATTCTCTTTCCTCTGTTGTCATCCTGTCATTGACCTGACTGAGATACCAGAGATCGCCAAACTCTTGGGTTGCAGTTATGGCGGCACTTCTCTCATTTGGGGTTAGTGTCTGATTTAGCAGTGATATTATATCTCTCCATGTCAGATTAAAGGATTGTCCTAACCCTTGTAAAACATCAATATAGCCATCAGGGTTATCTGAGAATTTACCTAGGTCTATTTTAATTTGCTTTAAGTCTGAAAGAGAAAAAGGTACATGCACTCTGGCTGGGCCGAATTCTCCTCCTCCCACTGCTTGGAAGGGGCATAATCAGGGAACATTGGCACTCTTTGATTTATTGTTTACCCATTTGTTTATCTCCTTTTGGACCGTTTGGGTTGAAGGGGGGTCCTTATTAGTTGGGGAAGGAGTCAGGGGGATGCTGGGATAGGGAGGTAGACTCTGAGGGCTTCCTGTAGGGCATAAACTACACTTTTTACATAATTGCGAGTTGTCTCTTAATGAAAAGAAAGTTTGCACATATGGCACTTCACTCCATTTGCCTTCTTTTCTACAAAAGAGGTCTAGCTGTAAGATGGTGTTATAATTTGTACTTCCCTCAGGAGGCCAGGTTTCTCCCCCTTGAAGAGGATATCGTGGCCAGGCGGTACTGCAGAAGAATATAAGTCGTTTCTTTCTTAGCGTCTGAGGGTCAAATTGGTCCTAATTCTCCAGAATACATCTTACGGGCATTTTTGCCTTGGGGGGAACATTTCCCATCTGAAAAAAGAACATAAGGATGCCAGCACCCCTAGTTATTTTCCGATGAGCATTAGTCCTAGAGCGTCCTCTAAGGGCCTAATGCTTATTCTTTTCCAGGGTGCGTAACCACCCATGGACCTCTGCTTATCAGATTAGTGATGCTCACCAATGTAGCAGTCCTGCACTCCCTTTCCCACCTTTCTTGACCACAAAGAAAGGGGTCCGGGCTGCTGGATTCTAGTGGTCCTTTACCAGTGTGCCCAACATTTCCTTTGTGCTCAGAGGTGAGTTCCTTTCCAGGGTGTGTCACCACCCATGGACCTCTGCTTATCGGATTAGTTACGCTCGCCGATGTAGCAGTCCTGCACCTGTTTTCCTGCCTTTCTTGACCACAAAGAAAGCGGTCCGGGCTGCTGGATTCTAGTGGTCCTTTACCAGCATGCCCAGCATTGCCTTTGTGCTCAGGGGTGAGTCCTAGAGCTGGGCTGGGTTCCTGAGTATTTCATAACAACCCAGCTGACCCATCAAGATGCATTCCCATAAACAACAGTTCTTATGCAAATTCATTTCAGAGAGGGTATAGCTAACCTTTTGAGTCAGGATTGAGATAGTCTTTTGATTCTGTAAGTACTTTAAGGCTTGGCTGAGTGCAAACAGCTCGCACATTTGAGGAGACCAATTCTTAGGCAATTTTTTAACTCTGCTTCCACAAGAGTCTCCGTATCAATGACTGAATACCCATTGTATTCAGTACCCATCTGTCACCTGGGAGGAACCATCTACCATCCTGTCATGAAGGGAGTTCCTCCTAGGTCTGGTCGGACCTTTGTGTGGTAATTAAGATTTAAATCCCTTGTTAGGAAATCTGATGGGTTAAGGGAATTATCAGTGGTTGGAGTTACATTACCCTTTTCTAACATAGTAGCCCCATACTTTAAGATTATTGAGTTAGTAAGCTACCTTTTTGCTTTTTTTTGACTTAGAATAACTCTGAACTGGTGAGGTGCGCTCACAACGAGGTTTCCTCTAAAAGTTACTTTTCTACTTTTAGCAAAGCAGTTGTCGCTACCGACTGAATGCATTTGGCCCATCCTTGGTTACTGGGTTAAGGATTTGCTACGCCCTTATTTACACTGACAACAAAGTGACAATTATCAATTATAGGTTTTAAATTTACCCTGACTTTTAAAGGAATAGGGCACACTTTTTTTTTTAACTATTTCTATCTTTTTCTTTCTTTTTCTCTATGACTCCCTCTTTGTCTCTCTCTCCCCCCCTCTCTCTCTAATTCCCTCTCTCCCTCTTAGCCATTACAAACTCGGGGCCCTGGCAAGGGTGGTGGGGAACGGGTCCCACATAACTGCCCATGTCGAGAGCTGTATACCTAAATCGGGAGGGATACCAGGGATAAGACTCCCTGGGTTATAGCCTAGGTGCCTAAGGACATAGCATAGAGCCTCCTTAGATCCCTTCGGAGATACAACTTGCTAGAGGAAATGAAAGTCTGAACCATTAGTACCTAGGAGGCAGGGATCAGAGGAAGTAGATTCAGAGGTCAGGAGAATTTTGCGGCTACGCTTTCAAGAAAGTCACAGTCAGGACCCCAGAGGTATACTTCAGAAGGAAAGGTAGGGGCGCACACATGGGCAACTGCTGAGTAGAGAATTCTGGCTGTGCCATGATCTCAGCCGGCTACTGCCAGGAGTTCGGGACAACAGCTTTCTGCCTCTAGTCGGCCCTCGGCTTCCCCAAGAAAATTGAAAGTGGAAGCTGGCTCCAGGCAGACAAACGTCCGCAGTAGAAGGGTTGGGGGTTGTTAGAAAGCCCTTCCCCAGATAGCCTCACACCTGAGTCTTAAGTTCGGCGACCATGCTAATCATTTTTAACTGGCCAACAGATGCCCAGTATTTTCCTCCAGTTCTAAGGAAGAATAGAACAGAATAGCAAGCTAAAGTGGTCCAATATTACTCACAGCTTTGGATGTCCCTTCGTGGTCGCCAAAATGTTACCGGAGGTCCTTGCTCACAGAGCTCCCAAGATGGTGGCGAGCCACTTCCAAGATGGTGGCGGGCCGCTTCCAAGATGGTGGCAAGCCTCGTCTTCTCTGACCTGGGGTTCTTGGCCTCACGGATTCCAAGGAATGGAATCTTGGGCCATGCAGTGAGTGTTATAGCTCTATTAGAAGCCGTGGGTCACGGAAGAGAACCATGGAACCCAGTGACTAGTGTTCAGCTCGATTAGGACGAACCCAGGCACTTAACGTTGCAGGAACAATGGCAAGCCTTTAGCATGATCGGGAGTGGCAATGGGAGTCTCGCCGTATCAGGAGCTCAGCGGACACCCTGCCGGATCCAGAGGGATGGGAGTCGGCGGTGGGTCTGCGACAGTGGCAAACAGCAGTGGTGGATGGTGAGCGAAAGCTCAGCTCGAGCCATAACAAATGTGGACCAGAAGAGTGCAGTTGCAAGATTTAATAGAGTGAAATAGAGTGAAAACAGAGCTCCCATACAAAGGGAGGGAACCCAAAGGGGGTTGCTGTTATGGGTTTTTTAAAGCTTTTTAAGCTTTTTAAAAAAATTTTAAGCTTTTTAAAACATTACTTGATCTAGAAAAACAAAAGCACAAAAATGTACTAATAGTGTAATTTGTTTACCAAAGGCAGAACATTTTAGGAAATGGCAAAACAGATTCAGGCTACCCTGGATCATAGAAGTCCTATAAACTACTTCAGAGATGAGGGTTTCTCCTGGGCACAAGATTGTAGTGGAAGGAGCCAGGGAGCAGACCGTGGGAGTCATATTCATCCTTCTTGTCTTTCACTATTTTTGGTTTCACCTTTGAAGGTGTCACACTGAACCAGATTTACAGTCAATGCACAGGGAAAATATTGGAAGTGAAGGTTAATCCCAAGAAGCAGCCAACATACATAGAGACAAGAGGGAAAAGGAGAGGAGGATAATTTCTTAAACTATTTGGGGATCAGGGATTTCAGGCTATTTCTGAGTAGGCATCTGCATATCTTGCTATTGTAATTATTCAATGACATTTAGTTTTCTTTTTTCATATAAATGAAATATCTACTTACTGTTGAAAACTTTCAGAAACACAGAAAAGTATAATAATGAAAATAATTATTTCACTTAATATCCCCCATCTGTTCTTTCAAATGAGCTTTTTGATTTTACATTTAAACATGATTGGAGATGATTGTGAACAACTTACCTCATCAGAAAAATTATTTAGAAAAGCAACTTACCCAGTCTTCTGTGACACATTACTAAATTTAACTTCAAAAGTTAAGTGCTATATAAACATAGATAAGAAAATATAAATACATATATGTTAAAGCCTCAGTTACTCTCTAATACTGCAGGTTTCTTCCAAGTTCTATTCATTCATTCAATCTCTTGCTTATTTATTTTATGAAAATTATTGTTCACTTGGATTTTGATAACACCTGTATTTTGGGGAGTAGAGTCATTCTATGAAAAACATATGTTACTCTTCAAAATTCTCATTGGAGTATTAAATATTTGGTTAAAAAATATTCTCTTCTCTTGAGGAAGTTATATTCAGTTTCCATCCTGACATGCCACACAGTACAATGCTGATGCCACTTTACTGTAGTTCAGGACTAGAATACATGAGTCAATTCTGACTTGTTAAGAATTTCCTTCTTCTCCCAAAGGAAAACACATGATTGCTCTTGGGGAATGGCTGGAAATCAGATTTAACCTTTTATTTAGGTTTTTTGGAGGACTGAGGAGATTTGGCCAAATAAGTGTATGCTTTTTACAACGTGTCTAACAGCCAAAATTTTGGCTAAGATGTGAATATGCAAGAAAAGTTAGCAAGCTCAATAGACACACAAAACAACTTTTGATGGGAAGAACAGAAAAAGGGTATAAACATTGTAGAATTTATGAAAATATTCACAGTAAAAAAATTCTTATAAATTATTACAAGATTTACTATTTCTTAATGAAATCCTGGCATGGTTTCTTATGCAATAGACAAGGTAAATTAATTAATTTAAAATCCATTAGTTAGCATATTGCTGTTGAAAACAATAGTAGAAAGGGAGGGGTTATGGAGGAATTAGAGCCCTATCAGAACAATAAAAGATTTTGAAATTTAGAAAGACCTATTGCAATAGGATTGCTTCCTCGCACCATTCATTTTCAACTGTATTTTTCAAGTTTATCTTAAGGTTTCAGTCATAGAGTTCCCAATATTATATCCTCATATTTTAATATATAACTTGACAGAGAAAGGTGCAAGATTAATGTCATTGATATACCAAGTGAGTTACACCAACACTTGCAAAGGTTTAGGTTTGGCCAACTGGTTAGTAAAATCTCTTTAGTCATATTTATTTCACTTTAACTTCTTTGGAGAGTTTCCCACAATTATTAAGGCAGGTGTCCTTCTCACACTCTTATCAGATTTGGCTTGTGGGCCTTTGCCTCTCAAAGCTGAATTGTAAAATGAGCCCCACCTTTAGGCTAGTTGTAACCACATATTTCAATCCTGTTATATTTCTGGTAAAAAAAAAATGGTCTAAAATGGCAGTTTGTGCCATCTGAAAATTCACTAAGTAAGTTGACAAGGAACTTATCTCTTTTTTTTTTTTTAGTCTCTGAGAGTTTTGCATTTTAAAATCATAGACCTTCTCAGAAAGTAGATTGTTGAATTGTGAAGCTCCTGGGAGGTTAAAACTGAATGATCCTGTTGTCTCCTTACCACTACTTTGGAGTTTTCCCATTACATCTTTCTTGCTGTTTAAAAAGTTTTGTCGTTATTACCAGCAGGAGTTCTGATAGCCACATTTTAGAATTTATAAGATCATACACTTTACTAACTGGTAAAAAATATACTGTTAGAGAAAAAGAAAGGAGATTATAACAAAATTTCTTAAATTTCAGCCATGGACAATTACTTGTTATTTTTCACCTTTCCAAGCTTCTTAACAAATATTTAAATTTAGACAACTTAACAGCATAGAGGAAAAATAGTTAAAATGCATATATTAGAAATGTTATAAAGCACTGGATTTGTCAAAGAAAACTAGATGGGAATTGTCAGTAATTATACTAAGCTTATCTGCTTTTAATCATTTAGGCCACTATAGAACTTTTTAGAATGCATCAGTAAAATAGAAGTCTTAGAAATAAGTTAGGACGTTGAATATTACTGATGATATTAGAGTGTGAAAATCAACACAAAATAAGAATAGAATGCTACAGTAATTATGAAATGTGGACTGCAAATTTGGCTTAAGCCAAACGTATTGTACTCTCTTTAGCTATACTAGCTTTTCCTGAATGACATGGTAGACATATTCCTTCATATCATAGGTATAGTGAATGTTGTAACACTTAACCTGAAGCTGTTTATTTTAGTGTATCCTGATGAAATAAAGATACTGTTCCAAAATGAACTCAGTAAAACTAATTTTATAGCATACCAAGACAATATGACACATTGTGCAGTTTTCTAATGACCCCTAAGAAGCAACCTTAGAGTTTCTAGAGGAGTGAATGGTTTACTTTTCTTAACAAGATTCTAGGTGAGGATTGGAACCCAAACATGTGAAAGTTACTGGGGCCTTAAAGAAATGTTATTCCGGGTTATTGACAGACTATTGGTTGTGTGCCTTGGGAATCAATAGACAAATTTTAAGGTTGGCAGCGTTTTGTAAAACTGAGAGTGCTAAGTAAGAATGTCTCCTTTTCTTCTCCAAAAAGAGAACTTACATGAAAACATAGGACTTTTTTTTCATAGGAAACTATTTCCTTGAGAAAGGGCATATGAAGAAATTACTGATCAATCCCCATTGTGTCCAAACCTCAAATTGCAGGATGAAGATGATTTTGGTTAGATGAAATTTCAAAGTGGACCATAGAATATATAATGAGACTAAACCATGAATAATGTATTAACTTATTTAAAAATGCATATCAAGTTTGGCCGGGCGCAGTGGCTCATGCCTGTAATCCCAGCACTTTGGGAGGCCGAGGTGGGTGGATCAGCTAAGGTCAGGAGTTGGAGACTAGCCTGGCCAACATGGTGAAACCCTGTCTCTACTAAAAATACAAAAATTAGTTGGGCATGGTGGCATGCTCCTGTAATCCTAGCTACTCAGGAGGTGGAGGCATGAGAATCACTTGAACCTGGGAGGCGGAGGTTGCTGATAGCTGAGATCGGACCACTGCTCTCCAGCCTGGGCAACAGAGTGACATTCAGTGTCAAAAAAAAAAAAAAAAAAAAGCATAACAAGTTAAAAAAAAAGATTAGTGACAGTGAAAGGTTTTCTGTGGTGTAAATATTGTAAAACAACGTAATTTCAAGATACATATGAAAAATTCAAAAATTTTTTAAAAAGCATGTATTATAGTTAGCTTAAACAGTACAGTATATAACTACTGGGGATAAAGGAAGTGAATAATGAGTCATTATTATTTTAAAATGAAATATAACAAAATGTATCAAAGTTATCACTTGTTAAATGTCACTATAAAACACCACCTACTGGGTAGTTTACTCATTCTACAGAGTAAACTGGTGCTCAGGAGCAGAGCCTGAATTTGTTTATGAGAAATTACTGAAGACTTGAGTTGAGAGTATTAATTCAGATTATCAAAAAGTTGGACTTCACCATTTGTTATATTATATATTCTAAACTGTTGACTTACAGGCCAAATCCACGTACATGTTTTGTTTGGCACCATACTTTTGTTTTATTTATGTATTTATTTATTTATTTATTTATTTAGTGAGTTAGTTAGTTGGTTATTTGAGACAGGGTCTTACTCTGTCGCCCATGCTGGAATGCAGTGGCATGATCACTGCTCACTGGAGCCTGAACCTCCCTGGGCTCAGGTAACCCTCCCACCTCAGCCTCCTGAGTAGCTGGGACTACAGCTGCCTATGGCTACACCTAGCTGATTTTTTTTTTTCTTTCTTTAGAGGCAGGATTTCTCCATGTTCCCCAGGCTGGTCTTCAACTCCTGGGCTCAAGTGATTGCCTGCCTTGGCCCTGCTAAGTGCTGGAATTACAGATGTGGGCCACCTTACCCAGCCTGCCTCATAATTTTTAAATTGGTTTTCAACATTAAAAAATCTGACTTCTTGGCCAGACACAGTGGCTCATGTCTGTAATCCCAGCACTTTGGGAGGCTGAGGTGGGCAGATCACGAGGTCAGGAGTTGGAGATCAGCCTGGCCAACATGGCAAAACCCCATCTCTACTAAAAATACAAAAATTAGCTGGGCGTGGTGGCAGGTGCCTGTATTCCCAGGTACTTGGGAGGCTGAGGCAGGAGAATCGCTTGAACCCGGGAGGCGGAGGTTGCAGTGAGCCAAGCTTGTGCCACTGTACTCCAGCCTTGGCGACAAGAGCAAGACTCCATCTCAGGAAAAAAAAAAAAAATCTGACTTCTCTGGAAAACATGCAGCTCTGGCAACACTAAGCCCACATTTCCATTTGGCGACATGCCCCTTTAGACTGGGCATGCATCTGCTAATGTGTCACATGTCCTACCTTGCTTCTTCACTGGGTTAAACATCTGCTTAGACTGGGTGAGTTAAGATTCCTGGTTTAAAATTTTTTCTAAGTATTTTACTCAAGATGTGCCTATACAAATACAAGGGAAAAATCCAAATGAAACTTAAGGAGCTTTGTGATTGCATGTTTTTTGGTGTGGTACTTTTATAAATATTTGCCTTTCACAATTGAAAGAAGCTTCACTAGGGTATGGAACACATCTTATTGCTCACTATGGTGTCTGCAGAAACTGCCATAGTGCCTGGCTTGTTCCAAGGTCTTGATAAATGTTTCTGTGACTGAAGGTAGTAATGGAACTCTCCACAAATACTAACTTAACATATTCCTATTTAAAATATACTTTTTTCAGAAGACACAAACCATAAAACGTAAGCCTTTCTGTCCATGGCTAACCAGATGTCTAAGAATTATCAACTGATCTTGTTGTAAGCTGAGAAAATACGTGACACTCAAATGTCCACATGAACATGGTAGTTTCAGAATGTATGAATGGGATTTAAATAAAATCATTATTAATTCTAGTTTGTGTCAAACTCTGTACTCTGAAAAGCATACTAGGTCTTTAGAATGAAGGCATGATGACAGAACTCACATATGTGGTGATTTTAAGTAAAATAATTTCATTGCATTAATTAATAATATATTATTTATATCTTATTTATGTCAAGGGGAAACTATGTTGTCAAGATCTTTAATACCGTGCCTGACACAGAATGAGAATGTCATAATTTGTTCAATGTGCCTGAATCTCACAATGCCCAAGAAGAAGTAAAGGATGCTCACATAGTGAGATTCTGTCAAGTGGAAGCTGAAGCAGACAGTTTTCCAGTAGATATAATGGAGAAGAGGATTTTGGCCAAAACAGAAAATCAAAACCAGTGTTGAGATCCTCTTGGGAAGCCAAAGTTCAGTAGGCCAGTATGCGTGGTTGGAGTGTCCAACATAAGGTGCTAGAAGCCACAATTGACTTGGGGGACCAGAAACCTAGGAACTAGGGTGATGCAAATATAACTGAGAGTAAATGAGGAAGGTTTTAAAGTGTTGCCAAGAACAGTCGTTCATTCCTGACCTGCTTTTAGGGAGTAAATGGGTCATGGTGCAGAGATGGGTTAGCTAGGTTTAAATGTCCAGCAGTGGAATGATCTTTTGGAATCAACAGTGAGTTCCCCTATGAAGCAGAATCCTTGAGTGCTTCTCTGATCAACTGGGATAGTAAATAAAATAGTATGAATTGCCTCTTGGTAGTGAAGCTTTTCTGATAGAAATAAATAATGAGCTTCCTTCCCATGGCTCTGATGTCTCTGGTCTTCTTTCATTGTCAGGCTCCACACAGTGACCCCACTCAGCTTTAGGCTCTCTTCTTACAGTAATCCCAAGACCTACAACCTCACATCAAAAACTCACAGAAGACTGAATTTGTATCCTAGTATTCCCAGGTCATGTCATTCAGAACCAACTTAGTAAGTGCCTACTTTTGAACCAGTGTCAGATGAATGGAATGTGCCAGTTGGTTAAGGCCTCATTCCATGCCCATTTCTGAACTAATTACAGTAGCCTGGAGGATGAGGTAAGTGGATGGGTTTAAGAGAATCAGTGCTGACGTACAGAGCTTGGGGTGGATTCAAGGCCATTTAAACCACATGGCTGGGAAGTTTCCGTACTCAGGAAAAAAGAAATCCAGATTCTGGTGAGGAAAGCAGTATGTGTTCAGTATATAATGAACTTAGCATAGTCATTGTAATTATGGTAGTTGAGACATACACAAAAAGTACATAGAATATCAGGGTGATGTGCAATTCAATTGTTCTGGATAAGTTATTACTTATGTAATTTCCCATGCTCCCTAAGCCAAAGTAGTTATAATATTTTTACTTAAGTATGTTTAAGAAACTTTCTTCTTAAAATAACAACGACTCCTCATCTCCCCTTCTACCTTACATTTCCTTCTTCTTTTTTTCCCTTCTCTTTTTGAGCAGTTTAGTCTTACAGCCATTGCTTGTGGCAAAAAAATGGTAGGTGTCTGTTCCAGCAGTGTGATGGAGCTACAGTGACCCAGAACAATGTGTCAGAGCCCAAGCAGAGTAAGGAAGGTGTATACAAATGAGAGATGTCTTACACATAATGTCAGAGTCTGACCAGAGAGAGGAGGGCATCCACATAGAAGAGCAGCCTGGCATGGAAAATTAGAGCCGGAGTAGGCTGAAGGGGGCGTCCTTATGGGGTAGGCAGCCTGGTGTGGGGAGTCAAAACCACAGATGAAAGGTAAGGACATATCTCCAGAAGGGATACAGAGTGTCAGAGCCTCAGCAGCATGAAGAAGGCATCTATGTGGAAGAACAGCCTGGCATGGGTTGTTGGAACCCAGGTTGAGAGAAGAGGGCATCCACATAAGAGAATAATGGAGGGGAAGGTGAGAAATGAGTTGTACACAGGGAATTGATCACATAAGTACACATATTAAGGATAATGGGAGTCAAATTTCTCATTGTTCAAGGTACAAATCTGGAAAGGCAGAAAACTTGAATGAACCTTAGTGTGTTGAATCGGAAGGCATATTGGTGTGAACTCATGATTTTCTATAGATATAGAAATTATTGTGGATGTAAATATATGTGTCAGTGTGCATGTGTGTGTGTGTGAGAGTGTGTGTGTGTGTGTGTGTGTGTGAGAGAGAGAGAGAGAGAGAGAGATCCCTTTGCTCTGTCCGCTGAAAGGTCCCGGAAACTGCAGTACTCCAAAAGCAATTAGCACACCTAGGACCCAGATCTTCCTTTCTAAATACCATTTTCCTCTAAAAGGAAACTGGGCTTGATTGCATAACTGGGACAGGGAAAGTATAAAATAAGCCTGGAGCATCTTGTGCCAGAAATTAAGGAAACACTTAAGGAATGATGGGAATATGCTAAAAGAACATAGAAACCAACTTGAAGAGGCTCCCACTGATTAAATTGGAGACATTTGGAGCTTGAAAGTAAATAACAAATAATTACAAGGTAAATTCATTATAAAGTAAATAATTATAAACCGTTGAATAAAGGGAGAAATATGAATCTATACACACACACACACACACACACACACAAGCAAACACCCCTACACACAGATATAGAAATTGAAAAGTTCAGTGAGGAATCGGATACTTATATAGTTTCAAAATAACTCCCAACAAAATGTTTACTAATTACAAAAGAGAAAAAAAGTAACTGCAGTGGAGAAGCCTGGCAGATATCACTTTAATCAAGTGATCAAAGTGAACATTATAAGAGATACCCTGAAATCATGTCCCACTTGATAGAATATAATGAGAAAAACGAGCATCACCTTTGTATTATGCCTGGCAAAGATGCATAACCTGAAACTAATCATGAGGAAACACAGACAACCAAAATTAAGGGACATCTACAAAATAACTGGCCTGTGATCTTCTAATGTGTCAAGGTCATGAAAATCAAAGAAAGACTGAAGGAACTGTTCGAGACTGGAGCTGACTAAAGAGACATGAAAACTAAATACAATGTGTGATTCTGAACTGGATCCCTTCGCTAGAGAGGACATTATTAGGACAAGTGACTAAACTTGAAAGGAGGCTGAGCATTAGATCGTGTGAATAATGTATCATTTTCAGTTTCCAGATTTTGATAGTACCATGGTGATGCAGGAAAAAATTCTTGTTTCTAAGAAATGTACACTGAAATATTGGGAGGCAAGTGGGAGTTAGGTTGGTCTTTAACAGTTAAGGAAAAAAATTATCTGTACTATACTTACAACTTTTCTGTAAGTTTGTGACTATGACAGTATTTTCCCAACTTCTCTGTAAGAACTGACAATGATGGCAGGAAAAAGAGCCATTAATTCAATACATTTGTTGAGTGTTTATAATTTATTAGAAATAGCCAGATATCCACAAATAAAATATACTAATGCTTGAGTGGGTCAACCCAAAAGGAAGAGGAGTTAATTTCTGATGACTATGCTTTAAAAGATGCCATGGAGGCACATTGAGAAAAATTATATTAAGTGTTATGGCATTGCAGCAGAGGAAAAAGACAGGAGCATAAGCTCAGAGGTTTGGGAAGTATTGAAGTGTATAGGTTGGCTCAAGCATGGGGTTTACTAGGAAGAATAGGAAAGTAAATTTTGAAAGGAAATACATGGAGCCTAGAATGCCAGATTCTGAGATCTGAATTTCACTTTTTAGATAAAGAGAAAGCAAGGAATTTTTATGTGTAAGAGAGCCTCATACCCAGAATACTTTTATATACATTTAAGAAGTCAATGAGATTTTATTAAAAGATATTATTACTAGTTTAACTTGATATGACCAAAACATGAGATGTAGATTTGAGAGAGCAGGATTAAAAATTTCTGTGAAAATCATATAGTATTTGTCTTTCTGTGTCTGGCTTATTTCAATTAACATAATGTCCTCCAGGTTCACTCATGTTGTTGCAAATGACAGGATTTCTCATTCATTTTTATGACTGAATGGTAATCTAGTGTGTGGGGGCAGGGGGGGTCACGTTTTCTTTCTTTTTTTAAAAAAATTTTTTCTAACTACATAGTAGGCATTTATGTGGTATATGAGATATTTTGATACAGGCATACAGTAGGTAATCACATTAGGATAAATGGTATATCCATCAACTCAAACATTTATCCTTTGTGTTATAAACAATCCAATTATATTCTTTTAGTTATTTTAAAGTGTACAATTAAATTATTATTGGCTTTAGTCACCCTATTGTGCTATCAAATAGTAGGCCTTATTTATTATTTCTATTTTTTTTTGTACCCATTAACTATCTCATCTTCCCCCACAACCCCTCCACTACCCTTTGCAGCCTCTGGTAACCATCCCTCTACTCTCTATCTCCATGAATTCAATTGTTTTAATTTTTTACTCCCACAAATAAGTGAGAACATGCAACGTTTGTCTGTCTGTGCCTGGTTTATTTCACTTAACACAATGACTTCCAGTTCCATCCATGTTGTTGCAAATGATGGGATCTTATTCTTTTTATGGTTGAATACTAACTACCTTTATCCATTCATCCATTGATGGGCACTTTGGTTGATTCTATGTCTTGGCTATTGTGAACAGTGCTGCAATAAACATAGGAGTGCACATCTCTCTTCAACATACTGATTTCATTTTCTTTGGGCTATATATCCAAGTAATGGGATTCAGTAGTCCTATTTTTAATTTTTTTTTAGTAACTTCCATAATGTTTTCCATAATGGCTATACTAATTACATTCATATGTGGAATCTTAAAAAAGTTGATCTCATGGAAGTATAGAGTAGAATGATGGTTACTAGGGGGTTGAGAGGGTGGTGGTGGTGGTGGTGGGGTTGGAGAGATGTTGATCAAAGAATACAAAATTTCAGTTAGACAGCAGGCATAAGTTTGAGAGCTCTACTGCACAACATAGGGACTATACATTATATTTCAAGAATATAATGTATTCTTGAAAAATGCTCAGAGAGTGAATGTGAAGTGATTTTACCACAAAATGATAACGATGTGAGGTAATGCATATGTTAATTAACTAGCTTTAGTCATTCCACAAGGTATATACACTTCAAAACATCATGTCATACATGGTAAATATATGAAATTACATCTATGTAAAACAATTTTCTTAAAAACATATCATTATATAATTAGCCTGAAAATAACTATTACCTCCTTCATAATTACTAAATTAAAAATATATACTAACATATCTTATAGTTCTTCCATATATTGGAAAGAAGATAAAATAAATGAATAGAAGCAATGAAAAGCACAAAATAATTCGGAATAGTGAAGAGATTTCGGGTGGAGATTTATGTAAAATACTTTAAAATTTAAAAATTTAAAAGTTTATCTGAGATTTTTATATATGAAAAAATAACAGTAAATGGGAAAACATCCATTTATTTATATATTCAGTCAACAATTATTAACCATATATCCCATACCGATCACTATACTAGGAATGCAGAATAGAGCATTGAACAAGACAGATATGTTTCCTGTTTTCGTGGAACCTGAGAGAAAGCAACAGACAATAAACATAGAAAAATCAACATTAATATTTCCATATGATGTAGAGAAAACGGGATAATATAAGGGGGTGATGGAGGAGCTCCTTCATACTGGGTTTTACAGGAAGGCTTCACTGAGGAAGTGAAATTTAAGCTGAATTTGAATTGTAAGAAAGACTACATTACAATGAAGGAGCGTTGCAAAGAGATTGAAGAGATGTTAAAATACCCTAAGATGGCAGTGAGAAACAATAAGAAAATTAATATGGCCAAAGCAGGACACAAGATAAAGAAAGGGAAGAATGATAATGAGATGAGGCTGAAGAGTCATCTTTGGACCAGATCCCATGGGTTCTTGGTACAGTGGACTGCCATGGAGGGTTTTCAGCAGGAGACTGACTCAATTTTATTTACATTTTTAAAGAGCAAGAGCATAGCAGGGCTAACAATTAGGAGGTAATTTATTAGGTCAGACCAGAGATGGTGCTTTAAACAAACAAGGGTGGCAGGAGTGGAGATCCAAGTGATCCATTGGAAGATTTGGAGTTTGAATTGAAATGATATTCCAGCAGTTTATATGAAAGAACTGAGAAGAGAGAAATCGAAGATTAAGTTTTTTTTTTCTTTTTTTCTCTCTTGAGAAATTCGATGGAGAGTGGCTGCATTAACCAAGAGAGAAGACAAAAGAGAAGACAAAGAGAAGGAGTTATAATGGATATAGACCTTTAATTTTAAAGTTAACATATAATAAAAGAAAGTAGTCTAAACTAAGAGCAGAGGGTTAGATTTTCAATAAGTCTTGAGTAAATTGGATATTTGCAGTAAAAAATTACGTTTTTCAAAAATACCATATGTAAAATTCTTAATATATTTAAAGATGCAATTATAGCCATCTAAAATATAACCAAAATTATGCAAGTATTAATTTAATCTTATATTGGAAAAAATACTTCTTAAATAGACAATAAATGAAAGGAATCACAAAGAGACATGGGATCAGATTATATAAAAATGAAATAAACTGGGAAGATATTTGCAAAAAATGCATCAAAACTTATATATACTTAATATTTTATGAAGTCTACTTTAAAATCAATGAAAACATACAAAAATATAAAAATGGACAAGAAGCTGTGAACAGGAAATTTGCAAATTGTAAATGCCAATGAACATGAAGAAAACATTTAAATTCGGTAACAAGTTTTTCAAATAAATTACAAACAATAATGCCATACGATTGCTTTATTAGGAATATTTTTAAAAGATGTTGGTATGGGTAAAGTGAGATGAGCACTTGTGTGCACAGTATAAATTACTACAGCTTTTCTGGAACAAAACCCAGAAACACAGAAATGTGTCTTGGGTTCATATATCCAGGAGTAATAGTGTAGGACTCTGGACGAAGTCACATTAAGCTCTCTCAGCAACAAGTTTTCCTCACTAAGGCTTTCTATTCATTTTTAAAATTAAGATGAAAGTAGTAGCTATCTCTAAGCTGTTGTGAATTAATTGAAAGCACTCAGACCAACACTTGGCAGGTAGTGAGCACCATATGTTTGTAGTTGCTGGTTATCTAATATTTTAATTTTTGGCAGTAGTTTCAAAGTCATATCTTCACTGTTGTTCTCACTTTGCATTATTTTGATTATCAATAAGATTCATGATCTGCTTACAGAAGATCAGTTGCTCAGCTTGACTTTCTGTAAATTGAATATTCATATCTTCTGACTTTCTTTTTCTTTTTCTTTTTTTTTTTTTTGAGACAGAGAGTCCTGTTGCCCAGGCTGAAGGGCGGTGGTGCCATCTTGACTCACTGCAACCTCTGCCTCCCCAATTCAAGTGATTCTCCTGACTCAGCCTCCCGAGTAGCTGTGATTACAGGCACCTGCCACCATGCCTGGCTAACTTTTGTATTTTCTGTAGAGACAGGGTTTCACCATGTTGGCCAGGCTGGTCTGGAACTCCTGACCTCAGGTGATCCACCCACCTCGGCCTCTCAAAGTGCTAGGATTACAGGTGTGAGCCAATGCACCCAGCCTTCACTTATTTTTTCTTTTCAGTTTTTCTTATTTTTCTGACTGGCTTACAAGAATTCCTGATATATTCTGGGTATTAAATATTTGATGGTTTTAGATTTTGCAAAACTTTTCCCATTTTTTTACCCACCTGTTACTTTTTCTGTGGTATACTTTTAAAAATGATTATTGAATGTTAATTATGTGCTTGACACTGTTTTAAGACCTTGGGACACATTCATGAACCAAAAGAAGACAAGAAGACAGACGTTCCTGACTCTTGGGGTTTATACTTCAGTGGAGGTGGAGGCAGAGGAAAACAATTTTTAAAAATTCAATTAAATAAATAAATAATACTGTGTGTTAAAGCTAGTAAGGGGTATTGGGACAAAAAACAGACCAGTATAAAGGGAGACAGAGAATACATCCAAACCTTAATTTCGAAGTGTCAAAATCATCATTTTCTTTTTTTTTTTTTTTTTCCTTTTTTGAGACAGAGTCTCACTCTGTCACCCAGGCTGGAGTGCAGTGGCGCGATCTTGGCTCACTGCAACCTCCGCCCCCCGAGTTCAAGCGATTCTCCTGCCTCAGCCTTCTGAGTAGCTGGGATTACAGGCGCCTGGTACCGCACCTGGCTAATCTCTGTATTTTTAGTAGAGACGGGGGGGTTTCACCATCTTGGCCAGGCTTGTCTTGAACTCCTGACCTCGTGATCCACCCGCCTTGGCCTCCCAAAGTGCTAGGATTACAGGTGTGAGCCACTGCGCCTGGCCAGAGTCATCATTTTCTTTGTAAAATTTATGTTTTTTGTTGTTGTTGTTGTTGTTGTTTTTGGTGGGGGATGTTATGCAAGAAAATAAAATTTAAATAGATTTGTAAAACTCCATTTCTTATAATTGTTCATTTATAGTAAAAGCTAATTTCTTCAGAATTTTTAAGGACTGAGAAGTCCCTCATAAATTAATTTCCCATGTAATTTAATCTTTTGACTTTAAATATTGAAACACAGTTTTTCCTAAAAATAAAATATAGATTCAAATTTTCCTAATTGTAAAAGCAATACACACCTATCAGAATAGATGTTAAAGAAAAACATATTCAATGATACTTGGTAAGGAAGACTTCATTCAGGATCACTGTGATGGGTATAGGCAGCGGTCCCCAATCTTTTTGGCACCAGATAATAGTTTCATGGAAGACAGTGTTTCCACAGACAGGAGTCGGGTGGGGTCGGGGGGAATGGCTTCTGGATGAAACTGTTCCGCTTCAGATCATCAGGCATTAAATTCTCAGAAGGAGCACACAACCTAGATTCCTAGCATGCACAGTTCACAATAGGGTTCACGTTCCTATGAGGACTTAATGCTACCACTGATTACTCACCTCCTGCTATGTGGCCCAGTTCCTAACAGGCCATGGACTGGTACTGGTCCGTGGCCCAGGGGTTGGGGACCCCTGGGTACAGGGACCACTGCAATGGGGTCTTGCAGTAGGGGAGCAAGATTGGGCTCAAGTCTGATTACAGCATGGGCAAATGGGAATTTATAATCAAGGCTCAGGGTGGGGGTCAGTGGGTGAAAAATTATTAAGAGGAAATAGCAGGAGTAAGGGAGATTCTGGGTAAACTTACCTAACAGGATTCTTGCTGTACATAGGCCAGGGTGATCAGACATCACCTAGGGAATGTAGAGGGTGAGGAACGTGATTAGATATCAGATGGGGGATGCTAGCTAAACTGACTTAGTAGGGTTCTTTTGATAAAACGGTTTTACAAGGGCTTGCACAGATGGGCCTAGAAGAAGCTTCATAGCCTGACTAATGTTTGGCCTAGCAAAATAAATGTTGTCATAGAATCCAATAATATGGATAAATATTAAGAGAAAAATACAAACTATGAATTATATAATTACCCAAGAACACCATTAATATTTAGATGCATATCCTTCCAGAAAGTTTGCACTGAAACTTTTGCTTTTTTAAAGAAACAGTTTCTTCTATTGACTTGAAGAGATGGAGGCATAAAAGTTATCTCCTACTTGTCTTTTTCCCCTTCCTTCACTCCCCTCATCACTACCACTTAATAACTTATTTTCTGCCAGGTACTTTTCATATATTGCTTTATTTAAGTGCCCCAATAATGCTGCTGGGTCGGCATTATCAATCACGTGTCAACAGTTGAGAAAATATTCCCAGGAAGAATATTGTCTTTCAGTTTGGCGATTTATTTTTAGGTTGGACCTGAAGGTCAAAGCCAGGTCTGTTAGATTCCATTGCCATTCTCTCTATACTGTGCTGATCTCTCACCCATGGCTAAAGACACAACATTGTGAACTTCTGTTTAACATTTAGAATGAAAGCAAAGTGAATCAAATGCTATGTATAGTATTTTTAAAGAATATTATATACAGCTTAGTTTGTTACCCTAAAGTAAAAGCATACTAAAAAGGATATAGAGGCCAGGCATGGTGGCTCATGCCTGTAATCTCAGCACTTTGAGAGGCCAAGGCAGGCGGATCACTTGAGGCCAGAAGTTGGGAGACCAGCCTGGCAAACATGGTGAAATCCCATCTCTTCTAAAAATACAAAAATTAGCTAGGCATGGTGGCACATGCCTGCAATCCCAGCTACTTGGGAGACTGAGGCACAAGATTCCCTTGAACCCGTGAGGCAGAGGTTGCAGTGAGCTGAGATCGTGCCACTGCACTCCAGCCTATGCAACAGAGCAAGACTCTGTCTCCAAAAACAACAACAAAAAGTTAAAAATAAAAAGATATAGATAAAATTAAGAGAGAAAAACAAATGAAATAGAGATGAAGGCCCTCTCTATCATCATTTCTTGAGGAAAGACCTAATTGACCTTTTTAGGTTAGAGAAGAGGACATTAATACATGTATTCCAATGACCATAAATTAAGAGGAAGATATAAATTAAAATGAAAGTAGAAGGATTTAAATATCAAGAATGATATTTTCACTGTCAAGATGCTTTCAAGAGAGGCTCTAGGGTCTCCACCTCTAGAGGTATTTGTGTAAAGAACATATATCCACCTATCTCAAACAGTTTACACAATTGCCTACTGAAGTTTGCAGTAGACTTCATCAGTTAACTAATCTGGTAAACAAATATTTGTTGAGGACCTACTGGGTGCTAGACGATGTTGTCTGTGCTGGTGTAAACAAGCTGACTCAGACCACATGGTTTGTTAAATGGCACCCCTGCAAAAACCATGCAAGCAATTTTTTTTTTTTTTTTTGAGACAGGGTCTTGCTCTGTCACCCAAGCTGGAGGCTGGAGTGCAGTGACACCATCATAGCTCACTGCCACCTCGAATACCTGGGCTCAAGCAATCCTCCCGCCTCAGCCCCCTGAGTAGCTGGAACCACAGGCTCACACCACCACACCCGGATATTGATTTTTGTTTGTTTGTTTGTTTGGTAATGATGAGTATCTTGTTATGTTTCCAAGGCTGGTCTCAAACTCCTGGCCTCAAGTCCTTAAGTGATCTTCCCACCTAGGCCTCCCAAAATGCTGCATTGCAGGCAGGAGCTACCATGCCCGACCACATGCAAGTGATTTTGTTTGCTTCTCTACTGCCTCTACACCTTACCAGCTACATCTATGTTCATAGACTGTCTAGATTCCACAATCCCTTATCTCAAGTCCTTGGGGGATGCATTTCAAAATTCAGAATTCCTTAGATTATAGCTAAGTAATAAGTTATGTAGTCTGTATATTATGTAACAGCCCCTTCATAGTCTGTATATTATGTAACAGCACCTTGCAATTGAACACAGTAATACAACTTCATTGAAATACATGCATAAAAACACTAATGGCCTCAAGTAAGTTTAGTTGTGTTTTATTGCCAGATGAGTTCAAGTTAGGTCAAGTTTTATCATCAACTGCATCACAGCAAACAAAAACCATCTTGATTCTCAGAATTTTTTGTATGTCAGAATTGATATGAGATTGTATAGTACATTTGCAAGGAATTCCTGAGACTTACTCAGATTTAAAAATTATGTTCCCAGAACACTAATGTACACGAGGTTTAATAGTTAACTAATGAAAAGAGTGAATCACTGTTCTTTATACTTCTCATTGCCTTTATAAGTTAACAGTCTTTTTGCATCTACAGGAGACTCAAGTATTATTTACCATAGAACCCATTTATTGCAGACTATCTCAGGAGACTTGTGTTCTGTGGAATAGTCTATAAGAAATACTATGCTAGTGATACAAGGATACTATAGCTTACCCTTATCCTTGTCTCTAGCATTTTGAAATTCATAATTGATTACATGGCCTAAAGGTAGCACAGATATAAATCCCTAGAAAATGCTGGTAAATATTCCAAAGTGATGGAGAAATTGTTTTAAGAAATTATGAAAGAACCTTATTGGGGAACCCTCTCTAAAGCCCCTTATTTTAATAGATATACAAGAAAAGATTAACTAAAAGCATACATGGTATCATTTGAAGTTTGCAGGGCAATTCCCCGGGGACCAAAATACCTCATACCTCTTACTTGCCAGTATAGTTTATTATTCAGCAACTTATGTCTTGGGTTAAGAAGGACTGACCCTCTTTTCTTCTGCCCTCCTAAAGAAGGTGGACATTCATTTGCCTTGGAGGGCAGTGTAAATTCACTAATACTATAGTTAGCTTTATATATGGTTAGCTTTATGAATGGCTTACCATTCATTAAATGGGTAAACAGCACAGGTAGAGGTGCAATTGGGATGAGTGGGTTGGGGGAGAGGAATAATGAGTGGAGAGAAGGGGTGTCAATATCAAATAATTATGACTTTACAATTTTGTCAAGGTTTAGTCTAGTTGACTTAGAGAAATGTCGGTTTGGCAAATGTAAATAAGAATTTGGACATATGATTGAAACAAGGAAAATTATATGCTTTAATTAGTGAAAATTCTACGTAAAAACTTATAAACGTTTGTAACGGAAAATATCCTTTTAAAAAGTACGTAAAATAAGTATTATGTAATAAGTTCTAATTGGTTACATAACACTTTATTGAGCATGATCAGATACTGGTTTTTAGGAGAAAATTTTCCCTTATATATGAAGATCTAAAGTCTACATAAACCTATTCTCCTTCAGCTTTGTATATGTTTAATCTGTGGAGTAGATGTTTTCTCAGAAATGAAGCATATAAATTGCCTCAGTGAAGAAAAGGAATGTACACATTTAAAAATCAAAATCGCCTTTTTAAAATTAAGGTTTTTTCTTTTGTATAATAGGTAAACTACTGTGAAGTGTAGTTGCCTGTTTAACTTTATATCTGCTTTGATTTTTGTCAGTTTAGTTAATTCAAATAAAATTTGTGAAGTTAACCACTTTCAAGAAAAGGCATAGGAGAACCTAATTTAACCTAGAGTGTCTCTTTTATTCTTCTGTTATTCATTTGAAGTGCCCTATCAGCTTGAACTGACCAACTTCAGTCATTTTTACCCTTTTATTTTTTTTCTCTAATGTAAACTGAAATTCCCTGCTGTTCGTGGTATTTTAGTGTTTAGCATCATTTAATGAGCAGGTATCATAAAACTTAAAAGGTCCTTTTCTGTGTATCTCTGATTAGTTAGCGAAAGAACCAAATAATTTCTCTTAATATATTTTGATGTTGGCCCATTTTACATTTAAGTGCTTTTTGATGAAGTAGAAAACAATTTTTGTTAAAGTAGGATGGATTCGATCAAGTGAATATGTGGCCCCCTATTAAGTGGTAGAATATAAATTGTTTACTGGTGTTACTATATGATAGTTTCCCTTATACATTTATGTGTGTAGGTTTCTAAATAATTTACTTTTTCTGAAAAACAGATATGTAATTTGAACAGATAATTTGGTATCAACGTCCATATACTCCTTATTATAAAAGCAGTAATTCATTCAGAAGTGAAAATTCACTTAAACGATTTCACACTGCCCTTAATTGCAGTTTCTTTTAAATTAAAATAAGGAATAAACTATGAGTAAAACAAATAGTAATATCTATTAATTACACACTTCCCATTTGACGTTCATGTATATTGGACCTGACAATTGCTAATATTTTATTATTAGTGCTAATTTTGCTTTTAGGAAGAAAAGAATATCTCTGTGAGATAAATAGCCTGCAGCCAAAATAATGAGGCTAGTAGGCAAGTAAAAGGTCAGATAATGTGTAATAAGTTACAGAGGGAATTGTGTAACGTTAACATTGGTAACAGGTAAAAGATGTAATAGTGCTGCCTACTGGTAAGAAATAGTAGTGTTTAAAGGGTAAATGAAAATGGGTGTAGTGTTAAGTGATATACATGGTTATTTAAGGTTGCTACTGTTATCTATGATGCAAACTATTTTTTCGTTAGTATTTAATAGAAAATTCACTATGAAGTCTTTGAGATTTAAATTTCTGGTATGATATTTCTGGATTTTGAAATTTTTATTTTTGGAAAATTTATATAAATAGCATATTGGCTCTCTTGCTCCCTCTTTTTAATCATGTGATACCTGTATAGTCTGTCATATGTATGGCCCTTCTTTGATAATGCTGACTTTTTTTATGGTCAGCATTTCCATAGAATTTGTAGTTGAAAAATAAGACATTGCCAGTTATGAGAAATAACTGTCAATTTTAGTAATACACAGGTGGATATTTAGCTAGTCCACTTACACCATTTATTCATAGAAAGAAGTATGATTTGTATATGCAACAAATTTTAAGATTTTAAGTCTAATTGGAAAAATGAAATTGGATTGCTTCTAAAGCACTAGTGTCAAAGTTTTAGCAAATTAAAAATCAAGTGTTCACATATGTAGGGATTACTTTCCCCATGTTCCACTAAAAATAAGTTTAGTTTTCTGTGCTAGAAAAAAACATATTTTGCTCCAGCTGTTTTGAATGTATATCAGTTAATTTTCCAGTATACTAATTTTGTTTATAGTCTTGAGAATAAGTTACAGTTATTTTAACATTAGCTCAACTCAAAGTACAGGTTTTTACAAGTTTCGTATTTGTTGTGTGATGTTTGTACAGGTGTGGCATGATGGAATTATTTAAATGTGATGATTTTATTATTCTGATTTGAATCCTTATCATATGCATTTTAGCTTTATTTTCAGATATCCATTATACATGACTTATTAAAACACCATGCACTGTAAAAATAGTTGTTACAAAGTGAGGAAACTGCTATTTCATTATGTATAACTTTCTCACTTACATAATGCAGTTTCCATTCTGAAAAAGAATTGAGTCACAACTAAATTGAGGAAAAAGTTAAAAAAGAAAGTGTTTTTGAATATCCAAAACTTGCTTTCTAGAGAGAGGAAGAGTAAAAGCCATAATGTCTCCTTCGAGGCATAAAAGCACTCTTTATATATTTATTCTTTATCCCTTTCTTTCTCCCTCAGTTCCCGCTTTACCTCCTCCCTCTCTCCCTAGCCTAAGTCTCTGTCTTTATCGCTACAGTACAGTATATTTTCCTATGGTAATTTAGACTAACATTGCCATTAAAATACAAAATTAGAAGTAAAGTTGGAAGCGTTTAAGAATTATTTTTGAGAAGTTTATGTCTGCTTGTTTTAGTAACTTGAACAGAGAGAAGAAGGGAAGGAGAGAACCAGACAGGAGGAAAATGAGAGAAATAGTAAGAAAAGGGAATAAGAGAGGAAAAGACAGAGCTGAAGGCTTGGGAAGAGGAAATAAATCAGATTACATTATATGCAAATTTTGAGTACCAAAGGAAGATAAAGTGTGAAAACTGTCTAAACGTGTGAAAAGTTGACATTTGTATTCTCGAAATCATTTTAACAGTCTGCAAAAGAAATTCATAAATAAATAGTAAATAAAATATTCCTGGAAGGTTTAGTGATGTCTAAAAGATAAATAGTTGGAATTACAATTTAGATTGCTTCACTAATATAACAATCAAACATCAGACCACCAAGAAGGTGTTTTAATAGCATAGAAAATAGCAACGCATTTCCTATACTGAAATGTAGCAAGTGGTTTTTGTGTGTCTGAAAGATTCTACTAATTTCATAGCATAAACAACAAACCTGGTGCTAACAGTAGTCTGCACTGTGGACTTTTTAAGTTGTTTACCTGAAACACTGCTGGAAATGGTTGTCAGAAAAGGGACAAGAAAAATGCTTTATGTAGTGAGAGGCACTAGATTACAAATATTAAATCAGCCTTTTGAACAATATGAATAACCATGTTAATACTTTTCCTTCAGCAGAGAACAAGAAAAAAAAGGATTACATTTATGAGCAAACAGTGCTTTTCTAAAGCATATATTCTTATCTATTTTATTTCTATGCAAATATTTGAACAGTTTAGGTTTTCCTTGACCTTTGTATTTATTTATAGCGTTTTGCAAAAAGTATGGGTGCATGCTTAGGAATTAATAACTTCAGGACATGATTGTTAAGGTCTGGTAAAGCTGTAAAAGCCCCAAGAACCAGCATTCTAGCATCATTCAGTAAAAACATGTTTTTTATTCTCTTATATATTAGTCCATGTTTCATCAAGGACAGCTTTCTCAAATGTTATTTCAGCTTAATTAAAAATCTGCTTAAAAGGATATACAAAATATTTTAATTATCAAGTGTAATGATATTTTCTTTGTTTCACTCTATAAAATGTAAAGCTGAATTTTTGATTAACATTTTATTTGTAAAATTGAACAATGTAATGATTTAAATGCTTTATTTTGAATACTTGTTTCATTTATGAGCTTATATCCTCACATTTTGGCATCAAGTTATTTTTATTTTTCTCAGTTTTTGTCATAAAAAGACATCAGAAGAAAACTAAATGTAACATAGTTTAATTAGCAGATTGGGCTACCACAGTTTAAAATTAAAACTTTAGGCCTTATTTTTTAGATCTTGATTATTTTTAAGTTTAAATTTATGTAACACATAGTTTCTCACTATAATTTTCTAAACCCTTGAAGTATAAAACATGACAATATCCAAATTCATATATTCCACATAATAGATAACTGTTCATGTTGGTGATTAAATGCTAAGTATTTATAACATAATGAATGGGCCAGGCGCAGTGGCTCACACCTGTAATTCCAATACTTTGGGAGGCCGAGGTGGGTGGATCATTTGAGGTCAGGAGTTCCAGACCAGCCTGGCCAATATGGTGAAACCCTGTCTCTACGAAAAATACAAAAATTAGCAGGGCATGGTGGTGCATGTCTGTAATCCCAGCTACTCAGGAGGCTGAGGCAGGAGAATCGCTTGAACCTGGGAGGCAGAGGTTGGAGTGAAATGAGATTGAGCCATTGCACTCCAATCGGGGAGACAGAGCTAGACTCCCTCTCAAAAACATAAATAAAAATAAATAAATAAATAAATAAATACAATGAATGTGTGCCTTATCTTTTCATATCAGCAGTGACATCATATTTTAAAGAAAGTACTTGGTACTTGTTAATTTCAAATTCAGAGTGGCAAGGAGAAAGCAAACCTTTATTTTTGAATAATTGACCAGAGTACTTGTTACTTTTTTCTTCATTGTCTTATCAGTAACCCTTCCTATCTCTTTTGCTGTAATTCTATAGAGTTCTATCATTTATCATAAACAAAATAATATACTAAATGTAAAGGTTAAGCATTTTATTTTGTTAGATAAAAGTTTTTGTTATTTGCTTATTTACCATCTATTTAGAACTTCTGGTGCTAGTATTTCTCTTACAATAGAAATTTTTGACCGTTAAATTTGGTTTAGATCAACACTTTTTAGTCTTTTTGGCAAATAATATTGCCTTAAATGGATCTAATAGCAATTAAATGATTAAACTTGTTTAATATATTAAAATTTCTCATTTGAAATCTGTAGTCTATCTTTGTTTTCTTCTTATGAGAAATCGTTAGTATAAATTGAATACCTACTTTTGCACATTCAGTGATGTTAGTTCTTATTTAACCCAGATCCAAGGATGGAGTGTATACAATGCTAAGAGCATATAACAAGAACTTAACTACAGATATGTCAAAATATCAGTTGTATGAGTGTCTTCATGCACTTCTTCATAAAACAAAATAGTTTTATTTCATCTTTAAGAAACTTTTAAAAAAGCAAGTTATTTTTAATGAAGAATAAATTCAATACATTTTCATGGACATCTTATTGAATCTTTTTCCATTTTCTTCATATGAATATTAACTGATTATTTAACTCTTCCTTATTTTCCCATACCTAATTATTAATTGGCTGTGTCATTCTGGCAATTTTTCTCTGCCTCAGTTTCTCCTTCTATAAAATGGGAAAGAAAGTACTTGCATCATAGAATTATTGTTTGATTGTTTTCCAATTGATTTTGGCTTTTCTCATTCCTATCTCTTCATACATTTTATTATATAAACTGGTCTAAATTAACTTTCCTAAAACATCTGTAATCTTATAATTCTCCAGATTTGATAACCATCTTGATACTCCCTGTTGCCCATGGAATACAATTTGGGCTTCTCCTTCTGACACCTCCAGTTTCAGACCTAACTCACCCTAGTGTATTCCATTACTCACTGACTGACTAAGCTCCAATCTATCTGAACCACATGCCTGCCTTGGGATAGAACTCATCATTATGTCTTTAGTTTTGCTTCACTTTTTCTGGAGCACTGTCAAATATATTTCCTCTTAAAAAAATCCTGCCTGTTATTTGGGGGGCAGTTCCAATACTGGGATCTTCGCCATATAGACTTCTTTGTTCTCTCAGCTATTATCTTTCCTAGTTCAGAACACACACCACTAAATGGCGTTGTACTCTCTTCACATATTCCTCATACTCTATATTCTAGGCAGGGTTAGATACATATCTGTAGTACTTGATTGAGAGTTTTCAGGGCAGAGACTAGATCGGATTTTACTATGAATTCTTCTCCTACTTTCCCATGACACCCAACAGAGTACTCTGTACGTAGAAGATATTCTGTAAATAAAGTTTATTAGGGAAACATTGTGGCAGAACAGAAAGAACACAGGCATTTGAGTCAAAAAAGACATAGATATTGTTTGACCCTGAGGAACTTAAAATATGGGAGTCCCACTGTCTTCATCTGTAAAAAAGGTAATATTATCTGCTTTTCAGGCTGGAGGGAAGGATTAGATATGATGCATGTAAACATTCATAATATGCCTGGATGTAGTAGATGCTCAATAAATATTTTCCTTTTTGTTTTATGTAACAAAACTTATTTCTTCTATTGTCTACCATAAAAAGTATGGCAGTGCATGTGAGATTGATCACTGTGTATAGATGAGGAGAGTTGACTTTCAATAAACAGTATGTGTTTCCTTGAGAAAAAATTACCACCGCCTTTGGAAAAGATGTCTTGGATATGTTATAGCTATACACAGGTAGTTTCCGAACTTGCATCTCTCAACTATTCTTTCTCTGAAATACCCCTCTCAATAATACTGTTGGAGTGTAGGCAGTAGAAAATAGTAGATGAAGGTGGCAGTAGCCAAAAAAAAAAAGAAAAGACTTGTCACTTTCATCTATTAAGTATTAGATTTATTTATTCATTTAGGCAACAAATATTTCAAGACTTTATATGTAGGTTATGCTAGTAGATAGAGTATCTAACATAAAACATTGCACTCTCAGCGAACTTAGTGTTTGGGACAGGAAGATAAAATGCATACATAAATGGCAATGGGAAAAAAGACACATGAGTAAGGTATTAAGATTGGGATTCAGTGCAACTCTGGAGCCAAACTTATGTGGTGGCCACAGAAGAACACTGTGTTTTGAAACCTCACATCGCCAAAGGTATACCATATTCTTTATCTGGCTTTCGATTTTGGATTACTGTAATGGTATGTGAATGTGCTTAGACTAATAGAAAGGAAATTGGGATTAGCCCCAAGCCTGTGTTATGTATTAAAATGCTGATTAAAATAAATAGAAATGAAATTTTTCCCACTCAAGTTTCTGACAACAAATACACCTGTAACTCAAATCAGACACACATTTGAAAAAGCACAGAATTCCCCTGTAGTTTATATTCATTTTTATGTGAGATTAAATAGAAGGTAAGCATAACGCTCAAAATATGGAGACTTGACCATTTTTGAATAAAGGAATTTCACAGTACTGCTGTAAAACAAAGCAGGCAGTTCTTCCATGTTTCTGTTTTGTTAAAATATGTATTTCATCTTTTATCTGTTTGAAATGGTGGCTGCAATTTAGTAAATGCCACCGATTTAGTTTAGATTTTATTGTTACAATGTTACAGTTTTGATAGCACTGGGCATTTTTTCCTGTTAGTTTGTTCTGCTGCTTTCAAGATTGGTATTTAATCAGTGTCCTAGCTCATTCGATGTGTCTTGCTTATAGATCCCTCTGCACTAGAGAGAAGAACCAAGTCTTCTCAAAGCTGACAGTTGTCCAGGGGATTTACAACTGATCATATCCAGTGTGGGGGAAATTTGACCTTTCATACATTCTTTTCCATAACTATTTTGGGGGAAAACAAGATTAGTTTTCATGGAGCCAGTGCATGGCACATAGTAGGTATTCAATGTGTTTTTGAAATAGATTTTAATACAGCAAAATGTTTGCTATGTTATGCCTTGAAATGTGCTTGTTTTGAACAAACTCAGGTGTCATAGTACAAAATTACCAGTGTTATAGTTCAGTGGAATTGCTAATAGGTCATCTCATGTTTAAGAAATTAAAAAATATTTTTAAAGATTTGCTATTGGAAGAAATCATAATAAGGGCATAGAAAGAAAACACCACAGTCTGGTTAGCAATCTATTTTTAAAATTACTATGATTATTTTGGAAGATATAAGTTAAAATTTTTTTACTTAGTGGCATCTTCCTGATCACGTACCTGCCATAGGGTTATAAAATGAAAGGAGTTTTACTATGTAATGTAATGTAGTCATAGTCTTTTATGTTAAGCAAAATTTGATTGTGAAAACTAATATGCAGAGTGTAACATTTTCTTTAATAACCTGGAGTTATTTCCAGGTGATATCGAAGAGTAGTGTGCTGATAGTAAAGAATGTGGGACTCTTCAGGAACAAATGACTTGACAAAATGGTTATACACTTCTTCCTAATACATTTGTGTGTGTGTGAGATTGTTTGTGTTTATTGGGAGGTATTTGCATTAGTTAATTATTTCTTTTCCTAGTTTTTGTCACCTTTATATGTGCTTAGTGAAGCTTGCTATAAATTATTTAGGCCTGAACTGAAGGTTAATGTCATTGTAACCAGCCAAACTTGACGTACCCCGATGCAGCTTTGTGCGGGAGGCACCTATGGCTTGATAGCTGTGTGAAACTGTTGCCTACAGAGATGGGCTCTTGACACTGTCTGCCAGCCTGAGGCTGTCCGCTTTGTGTCTGCTTTAATTGAAAATTAATAGTTAGGGGGTTGCTATGGAAATGATACCATTGCTTGCAGACAGCAAACCCAGCTTTTTGCAAAGAGACACTAGTGGTATTGTTTGTCCTTGTTGACCTCAGAAGTTCAAAAGCCTGGAGGAGGAAAGGAGATGCAAATATTTTACTTAAAAAAATGAATTTACATATTTATAACAATATTTTTGAATGTCAGAGGTATCAATTTTTTTAACTTTTGTTGGTAAAAATGAGTGTAAGCTTTTAAATTTTATGTTAATTGCTACTACACTGCTTTCTAGGTTGATAAGGCACTATTGCTGAAGAGCATTATGTTATCATTTTAGTGAATGTAAACAGATTTGTGTGAAAATGTTATTTGACTGATGTGATAATGGAAACTATCCTTTATTTCCTCTGGAGTACATAAAGTCATTTGTGTCATTGTATACATTATTCACAGTTTCTTTGAAATGTGGAAGCCCTGTAAACTGTGAAGAGTTGGGAGAAAAAATTTTTAAATGAACAAAGCAGACTTAAAAAATATATTCCTGATACTTGAATATTCGCAGTTGTTTAATTCCCTTAAAATATAAGTTACTATTGCTCATATAATTTCATTTGCTTTGTTCACAATCTGATAAAAAAATGTTAAAAATAAATGTTTACAGGTACTTGCCTATTGCATGAGTTTCCTGTGTTTAAATTTTGGTTTAAAAAAAAACCAATATAAACATACTTTTAATGAGTGAATTATTTAACTATAAAATGAAAAAAATTGCTAACAGAATATTAAACGGTTTTGTATCACAGAGCTAAAGAATAAGTGCTTTCAGTTCCTTTCAGGGGAGGTGGAGAAATAGTGCAGCCTCAGGGGTTGAAGGTGAAATGTGAAATTTGCTGTAATTACTTACCCAAAATGTCTGTATTAAAGGCTATTAGAAGCAGTTATTTTAAGTACTTCTTTATACATCTTTCCCTCTTCTGTTTAGTATTTAAATGTGCAACAAAAGTAGTGGCAGATGTTACTCATCTGAAGAAACTAAAACAAGATAAGTCAGTGGCAGGAGTGGTGGCCGGTTAAAGATCTCTTCGAAGTGCTTTGTTCAGTAACTGTTGTTTTGTCTCACATTAAGTTGTAGGTGGGGTGCTGTTAAAGCTTGTCCACTCACGATGGTGTTCAGCTGAGACCTGTGAGTTCAAGTTGTCTTGCCCAGAGTTAAAGGCCATAAAACTAAGACAGTGTCGTTCCTGTCTTGGGTGTAACTCCTAAAAAACTAGTCAGTTCTTGCAATAGGAGGAAAATTATTGCAAATAAACCTTTGATTTACCAGCTTCAGTAAGTTGTTCATTCTGTCTCTGTAGCTGTAGTTTTTACCTTAACAGTTTGAGGCTACCATTTCTCTTCCTTTCATGCTTATGGGGTCCACACAAACCCTGCTAGGCTACCTACAGTATAAAATCTTAAAACTCCATGTGGTGTTGTGAGCTGGTAGCAGATGGACTTTCTTTTGCATCTGCTGTGTACAGACTTGGCTTTGTACTCTTTTCCTGGGGGAGAGAAAGTCTTTCTTCTCTGCTAGTTGATTCCTGTTTTTGTGAAACAGCTAAGAAAACATCTGTGGCAGGCAGAAAAATTGACAAAGGATTGACAAACACCATTAGCTGAAAATTTTCCATTTCATTGCAACTATGCATTGTTTACTTTACTGTAAATATCTTAATACATCATCCTCTGAATATGCTGGCAGAGAAGCTGGAGAACTGTGATTTCAATTAAGGTTAGTAATTGATGGTATCTAGTGTTCAAAGGCTGAAGCTTGATTAACATCTGCTTGGACAAATTGTCATTGTGAAGTGGTTTTGATGTGCATTGAAGATTATTTCTTTCTGGCTTATCTGATGTTGTGGCTGTGAAATGCTTGTCTTGGGTTTGCTTATTTTTGTAAACTACTTCCTTTGGCTGTAAATTGCAGAGCACTGGAGCTTTACCAAAAGTGCAGTGTATAATGGTAAGCTTGTCCTAATAAGGGAAGCAAGAAGTGTATTTATCACAGACATGAAAGCTAACCGAGGACTTGAGAGACTCAAACTGGTGCTTTTGTCTCTCTCTCTCTGTCTTTCTCTCTCTCACACACACACTCACACACTCACACACATGCACACACACACATACACACACACAAAAATGAAGCACTTACTTTAGAAAGATTATGGTAAGCATGCTGGCTCAGTCTTGAACCTTTGTCACCCCTCACGTTGCACACCAAAGACATACCCTAGTGATTAAATGCTGATTTTGTGTACGATTGTCCACGGACGCCAAAACAATCACAGAGCTGCTTGATTTGTTTTAATTACCAGCACAAAATGCCATCAGTCTGGGACGTGATCGGGCAGAGGTGTACTCACAGTAGTGTAAATACTGCTGTAAATAGTTGTCTGATGGTGGCTTTGACAGTGAGCTAGCTTCTGAGTTTTCCCTTCTTTTTATACTGTTTTCTGTGCTGGCTTTTTTGAATCTTCCTAATTTTTCATCTCTTTAACAAACTCCTATGAAGTTGAAACCGGGAAGTTTGCTCTAACATTTCCAGAGAAGGTACGTTACTTTTTGCTAAGAGAATATCTGTAAGAGTTTAGAGAGGGGTGGGATTTTACGATTGCTTTACTGGTAGATTTGGCAATTGCTTTACTTTTTTTTTTTTCTGAGACTGTAGCTCATTGAAATGAACTAGAGCATTGTATCTGTTTGCGAGGGAAAAGCCGGGAGACCAGACACAGGAACTGTTTTTGATCTGTCAGTAGCGTAATGTAGATTTAAGCTATCACTAGTAAAGACAGCAAATAAAGAAGGCCTCTTTTGTATTAAAAAAAAATCTGCAAGATCTTGAGAAGAATAAAGACAGGGTTCCTGCTTTCATGGTTTGATAATAACCATGTCATCTTGCTTTTAGTAAATGCCCCAGTATGTGTCAGGGCGCAAGTTTTTGAAAAGGGAGTTTGACCACACGTTTGGGTGCCTCTCTGTGCCGTGCTGTGTAGAGCAGATGTTTATTTTGTGCTAAAGGGGAAACTCTTTTTGCTAAGCTTGTACAAACATGAAAGGAGTCAGGGCTCAGATGATCTTTGTAGTTTTATATGCATGTTCATGATTTTATTAAAAATTGGTTGGTGGGTCTTTTTCAAATCACTGATTGTGAAGAAATATATATATTTCCAGGAATACACATTGTGAATTGATGAGTAATTTTTAGAAACTGCATTATATTTCTTCAAATAGGTGTGATAGTTTAATACTCGTGTCAGTTAAAAAGGTAGCTTGGCTGGGCTATAAATTACCATTTCTGCACTTTTCATTCTGTCTGCTTCAAAAAAGCGTCTCAGAACCTGGGATCCTATTGGGCCCATCATAGGGCTACAGTAATTGCCTGATGACAACTGAAAATGATAGAATAATTGTCAAGAGAGACATTTTTAATGGGCAAGGTGATTTAAGTATGCATGAACAAGCTATGAGGGAAGATGAGCTTGTTTATGATGCAAGCCAGTATAAACACAGTCGGAGGATGACACAGATAGCTGCACTTTTCCCAGTGACATGAGCAAGTTCTTACTGCAACACCAACAGCTTTTTCCTCTGACCAGTTTGACATTCTTCACCTTCAGGTAATAACGCCTAAATTTCATCCATGTATTTTCACTTTACTGTAGCCTAAGTGACAGGTTTTTGTTTACTAGCCTCCGCGACCAAAAAAAAAAAAAAAAAAAGCACTCTATTTAATGTGTGCTTAGAATAGATCTTGAATCACTTTCACCGTCAATAGTGTGTGTAATACAAAACTTTCATTCTTATTTTCGATTGTTCCTTATCTTTGAACTGTTCTGACTTTAAATCTGATTATCTATAGTTGATTCATAATGCCCTTTTAAAGGCATATTTATTTGTCTTTACAGTCAGCCCTTCTGCTGTACAAGTTTGGAAACAAAGTATACTTGAGAATATGTGGAGAGGTTTAATGATTAGCCTGTTGGTTTTCACGGAAAGCAGAGTCCTATACCTAACAGAGATTACGGTATTGAAGGGTTACAGGTATCTGTTTAGAAATATGGTGCTCTATTAGAAAACAACTTGTTTGACTTTTTTTTTTAAACCCATGTAAAATTTCACAGAATATGCTCACGTTTTATTTTAAAGATCACTAAAATTATATGCATTGAAATACTAATAATCTTTGTAAAAGGTGGATAGATAATTTGTTTACTTTATTATTCATGAAGGCAAGTAAGGCATGGTATTCTGCTATTGTGGGCATATTATTAACATTTCATAGGGATTTGTGCTGGAATGTGGAATGCTGCTTCTTCATAATTTAATACTCCTATGCATAATGAGGTTTGTGATTAGTTGATAGAGAGAATTGGCCCAACTCCATTCTGAAAGCAGATAATTTACATTGTTCTCTAGAGTCTAGAATCTAATAGGTTCTTTAGTGCAATAAAATTAAATGCTACATGTTTTAAATTTCAGCATACAAATCCCCCTGGCAATTTTCTGTTTTTAATTTTTGCCTTTTGTTTCCTCTAAAACAATGAATTTTAAAAATTGTTTCTAGAACATATATTTACCTAGCTCTTTTATTTAGTATGTACAAGTCAATTAGCACTGTTCATTAGCAGAATTGGGTATTTGTTTTAAAGTTTAACCAATCACTTTGAAATGCTAATTATGATGTAATTTAATTGCAAGTCCTGTAATGATGATGCTGATATTATCGACATAAATGATGCAGTTAAGCAGTGGAATCTCATTTGCATATGCTTAAAGCAAGTTGAATTGGGCTGTTTCAATATCACTTTGCTTTAATTTTCCACCTCTGTTCACACCAGCCCTTTGGGTTTTTAAAGCTGTGGTTTCCTATTGATGATCAGTGCTTTCATCTTTATTTTAATGACAAAGGGGCAACAACTGACACTGGAACTGTAAAAATGAAAAGCAAATAATTACTTCTATTAAATATACGAACTATGAAACCTTTTTTGGTAATGATCATTCTTTAGAAACTGACAAATGCATGCATTTTTGGTATTTTCTTATAGCATTCTTACACTTGGAAATGATACTATGAAAGAAATACACGAACTGATATACAGTAAAGTGCTATGCCCCAAGATGTTTCTACTTTGTGAAAAGTACTTTATTGCATCTTAAAATGTTGTAGAAAGTAGACATTGCAATACATTTTTCAAAAACTTTCTGTGCATTCAGATTTTTGTGAGGGTATATTCCTTTAAAAGGAACAACAAGGCGTTATACTCATGATTGAGCTGATATTAAACTCCAGTGGTTATCTGTTTTTGTAGAGGTTTGGACTTGGGTAATTTTCTTCTGGAAAGATTATTTTTCTTCTGACCAATTTCTCCTGTTATGTCCTAATTGGTTACATAAATCTTGTCTGGTATGAATGAGAAATGTTTCTGTGTTGTCAAGTGTAATCTTCACCCTTATTTACCAATTCATTAAGATCTATTGATGCAGGACTGGTGAGAGGGAATGACAACATAAATCAGCCCTCCAACATAATGACCCTAATCAGCTAGAAATAACTGGAAACGTCATGATGAGCTATGTCTCTGTATTACTTCGGCAAGATTCTGTGGCTAGCGAGGTTTGTGTCTGCTTCGATCATTAACTTTACATCCACTCACCTTCTTCTAAAGAAGTTGTAGTGACTCTTGTTAGTATTACAAAGTTCTTTTTCTCAGACATTTGAATCTTTAGGAACCATAGAAGAAAAAAAGAAAGAGAAAAGGAAACTCACAGAACAGACGTCATGAAGGCTAATTAAAGCAGAAAAGAAACAAAGCTATTGTAGTGTTTTAAAGAACTTTCTGGTGATGATTGAAGCTGTGGGTTCAAAAAAAAAAGCTATACAGAAGGTCAATGGCTTTTTTTTATGAGAACCTGTCGATCGCAAAGGATTCAGGCGTATATCTTTCATGTTTAGTTAAACTGAGGCAAATGTTTTAAGTATACTTATAAGAATGATGTGGCTATTTCAATAAACCCAGGTGCCTCCAATCTGCCTTCTGATTCTTCTGTAAGAACTCATAATGACTTTCTTCTAAATTGGAATAACAGTGTGTTTCCTAGAGCTCTAACTGAAAGACTAGTAATTAAAATAAAACTGACAAATGATAATGTAAAATTTTTCTGTCTAAATGCATTAAATTGTAATGCTAAACACACACTCTTCTCAGTTGCTTTTATCAACTGGCTATATTTTTCCTGCATTTTGCCTGTATTATTAAATGCTAAGTTACAGAATACATCTATGCTAACTGACTGTGCATATAAAGGCAATTGTTATAGGTATATGTATGTCAAGTATATGCATGTATATACATATGTAGTATGTCAAATTTTGATAATCTATGTGTATTAAATATATACTTTATGACATACTGTTATTGGCATTTTCTATTGTTTGGCAGCAATAGTGAATTCATCCAAAATAGGTGGATTTCATTTTACATAGGACAAGAAATACTTGCAAACAGCAAGTTTAGGTTTGAAATTTGACGGAAAGGTTTATGCCATGTTTTGATATTCTGATGTGTGCTAACATTTAAAACAGTTTAAAATAGTTACATGTTGTGTGTTAATACAGGTGTTTTTGGAGTAGGTCTGCTTCATAGTCACTTGTTTTATACACACTTGATGCCAGAGTATAAATTACCCTACATCCCTCACAGTTATTTATCCTTATAGCATACTTGCTATTTAGATCAGACCATGGTATGAGTGTGACTCATGCTAACATTAGTGGAAGCTAAGTATAAAAATGTTTATTCTAATGCCTAAAATAAAGTTCAATCTCAAGAATAACGTATAAACTATTTTGAAACTATGCCGTCAAAAAACCTCTGTGACAGGTCGCTTACATACACATAGACACACACACACACACACACACACACACACACACCCCAGAAAGGACAAAAGCAGTTTCCTGACCAGATTCTAAAACTCCATTCAACACAATCATGTGGTTACATTAAAATTCTGGCCTTACCATTGCATCCACCTGCTAGGCTCATGTTGGACTTTTGCACTAAGTTGAGACCGGTGGAAGAAATTTCTCTAAGCGTACCGCCTATGCTGTGGGTCTTCCAATGGGAAGGCAAGAGGTGGGTCTGCTGAGGAGCAGTATTAAAGGGACATTTGGCACCCAAAAGATAGCCTGGAAGTAAAAAGTGCTGAAAGGGCAAGAGAATGAGGATCCGTGGAAGAGCTGTATTATGCTCAGGAAAAACAGCAAGGGATCCCAGGGAGTTGCTGTGGGCGGGAGACTGAAGATTGAAGTAAAGTAAGCCTGAGGGTTAAGGAAAGATATGTGGCAGGAAAGGTGAAAATGCCATCACAAGAGAAGTACATACTCAGAGCTCTCATTAGCCAGGGGATCAGTGAAGGCTATTGCAAGTAGTCCAGCCTTTGGGAATTTGACTGTAAGTGGACCCACTGCATGGAAGCTTGCAAGCTTGCACAACTCAATCACTAAGCTTTTTAAATAAAAAAGAGGGAGGTTTTGCCTGCTAGGCAGGTCTTTCTATGTTCTTGGAGAGCTAATTATTTCTTATTGCCTTACATTTTTACTGTTAAATTCTGTTTCCTAAACGAAAATATTCCTGGTTGCAGGATTTGACAATTTTTCTTCTTCAGGCAAAGACAAGAAAATCTGTGACAGAATATACTTGCTTACCTGGTGTCTTGTAAACTGTAGCCAGTATTTATTTTTGTATTGGCAACTAGGTAACATTCTTTAGTTTTTAAGTCCTCCTCTTACATATCTAAGACATACAGTTAGATAGGATAACACATTGCAAAAAATATTACATTTTGGCATTATAAATTAATGAAAACTCAATTTGTCAGAGGTTATAAAGTAGCAGGGTGAAATAAACTTTCCCTAAGCTTCCTATCCCCCTTGTTTTGAAAAAATAAATATTAATGCTATAAAGGATTGATTTTAAAACATTTAAATGATTTAATGAATTAAACTAACATTAAAATTTATATATTTAAAAGGAAGACTGACAATTTAGCATGTACCTTGAAAAGTAAAAATTGGTGTACATTTTTACATGTTTGAGAAATAAATATATACAGAAATTATATGAATGTGAAGACAAGATGTTAGAATATGAAGATTAATGTGAAAATATAATTTTGAAATATATTTTTGAGTAATTAGTTAACCAGAATTATCAATATAGTATTATAAAATCTCTTTCAATTATACTTCTGAAGGGGGCTTCTGAACTATAGATACAGAATCATAATGTTGCAGTAAAATACATCTACATGGCCACCATTCTTTCAAATTCTTCATTGCACTTTAAGTGAAATAGCATAGGGATTAAATACTTAATTTTAGTATTTTATAATATTTTCATAATTAAATATTTATGTTTTGTTTCCATTTTAAACTTATTTTATTTTTTATCCAGGAGCAAAATATAATATACTTAGTTGCTAAGTTAATTAATAGCTGATTGAAATGGAAGATAAGTTTTTCATTGGCTTTACTTATGTTTCCTAGATTTTGTTATTGTTGAAGATCTAACAGTATTATCTTTGCTAAAATGTAGTCATTATCATTTAAAAAATATTTTGTTAAAATGTCCTTCTACTTTGCATGTTTGAAATATTAACCTTTTTGAATGAAAGTCTGAATTTTTACTAAAGTGTTTTTTTTTCTAATTTGTGTATAGCATTTTAGGCATTTTGTTTAAATAAGTAAAAAGTAGTAACAAATACTTAATAAACAAGTTAATTTTAATTTACTTAAAATTATGTCACTTGGTATAGTAAAAATATCACTTGCTATAACAGATAACCTTCCCCAAATCATGTTTTAAAAGACATCCTGCTTCAGTTTTTAAAAATTGAAAATATTCATGTGCTGTTTCAATTTTTGTTCTTACACATTCAACTATATCCTTCATATTTGGCATTTTGATTTATTAGGCAATCTTAGCATTAAAGACTTTTAGCAAAGCAGTGCTGGATCTCAAATGCACTATGCATGGTGCCTATGATGAATTAATTCCACTAGAGCACAAGAGTTATCATTATTTAAACGCTAGTTTCTTTCAGAAGTTTTAAATCACAGTCAAGTTTTCAAAATTAGAACTTAACTAATATTTTGAGGTAAACGTATGAGGTTTCTTGTTACATATGTTAAGTTTTCTTAATATTTAACTCTTTCTTGTGTGAATCTGCATAGAAATATTTAATATTTGATATTGATAATTGATCAAAGATTAAGGAGGTATTTAAGAATATATGTTTTAAATTTGATGCCTTACTTTTCTTAAAATGTCATATTCAAAACTATTTGGATTTAATGCATATGTTTGATTAAATAAATTGGACACTGGAATGAATCAGATATTAGACATAAAGTGTCTTTCAAGGTCACTGTAATCATTTTGTTTAAGAAAAGTTGACGAAATGAATTGTTAGAAATGTTTTATATGTACTGTTATTTGTTCTTAGTTTTCTGGGAAGTCATTTTTTTTTCATCCATTTGTTTTGATTAAATAGTAAGACTCCTCCACCAAAATGAGAGTTAATATTAAGGCACTAAGATTATAAGACAGACTGTTTATGTAGAATGCAGAGTGTGGTTCAAAGTAGAGGCTATTTTTATCTTCTTTATAATCCCTGACATACATAGACAGATTGATTGATCTATCTTTATAAACATATATAGATACACATATTCATGTGCACACATATACACATGGGAATGTGGAGTGGAAAAGAGATAGGGAGCATAAGAAACAGGGAAGGAGAAGAGATGAGAAAGAAGACCATAGAGAAAGTTGAGTAAGCAACAAGGACCAGTAGTGTCCCTGGTGGTGGCTGAGATAACACAATTAACTATGCTTGTCCAGGTCAAGTTTCAAACTTTTAAACATTGCTGCGAATACGGAATAGGATACATGCAGGTTTCTGTTATCACTCTGGCATGTAACTATCTCACATGATACAGTTTTATACCAATAGAACATATAACTCTACGAGGAAGAAATAAAACCAACAAGTCTAGCATTCAGTACTACCCTATCATAAAGTAAGGAGGCCTAATTGAGCTATGTCTTTATATCCTGCTATTTGTACAAATAAAAGACTACATCTTGATGCAAAATAAACACAAAAGCACTGTTGTGACTATAACAGGGAGTCATATACTAATTTATATAATAAGTGGTTGTGCACGCTTTATTCAAGATTATGGCTGCAAGAAATGGCATGAATTGCTGGGTGTGTTTAATGCTGGATTATAGCAATTTGAAACATGTCAAACACATGGCTAATGCCTCATGCTTCACTCATTCTTGCGTAAACCTGCATAGCCACCATCCATTATACCCTTGGTAACAACACAATTCTGCAAGTAAATATTGTTACACTAAGTAACCTTTCAATTCAAGTTGTTTAGGAAGAGAAAATGCAATCTTGTGCAGTCAGTTCCAGTGTCAGTTTAATGTTTCAAAAGGGAAGTGGTGTAGAGAATAAGTATCTGTACAGTGACTTGCTTAAAAAAGAAGAAAGAAAAAGGAAAGGAAGGAAAACTTAATGCAGGGGAGAAAAGTCTAACTGTATCGTTTGAGTGTAAGATCTGAAGAGTTATTTTCTGATGTGGCTGAAAAGTTGTGTACGATGAAAGACTTAAGGGTTTAACTTACAGTTCAGACAAACATTAAAACAGGGACTCCCAGATTCATCTTTCCCTTTAATGATCTGGAATTTATTTTCACTGATTTTTGTAAAATGTTTGTGGTGGGATTGATAAGAATGAATAATTTAGCTTGGTATGTTTCGGATCATAAGCACATCCACTCTGAAAGAATATGCTGAATTTATTATTATTTAAAATATACTTAAAAGGTAAACAGCACTTCACATTGTGCTGGAAATATTTCCTATATTGGGAAATAAGTGGAAGTGTTACCAAGAGAAACTTAGTAAATGCTAGAAATAATCTGCATTGTCCTTGAAAAATTCCTCCTTTATAGTGAACATACTCCAAGCTTTTTTAAGTGAAATGTACAGTATAATCATCTAATTACACAATCACCCTTCTTTTTTCATATAAGTGTTGTATCAGATACTCCTCTTTTGTAGAGCAAAAAGTACTATCACTGTTATAGTTTTCTTAAGCATTATTTTACTAACTCTTAGATGATTGAACTTAAAATGTAAATAACAGTTTATACTGTAGGGTTTTATAAAGTTAAAAACTCCACAAGGGCTAAGAATAAAATCCTTTAGTTAAAAGGAATTATAAGTTATTTAGGTCTTTCTTCGTAATTGTAATAAAGATTTAGACACATGCCTCTTTGCTTGTTGATTATTCTTAATTATTTGATGGCCTTGATTATGACACAGTAATACATGTAGAATTCTTTAATTCATCCAATTGGTCCTGAGATTTACTACACAAAGGTTAGTAGTAAATGCTGCACCTGTCTGCTACACTGGAAAATATAGTGTTTTATTTTTATTCCTTGTGTTGCTAACTCCATCCAGAAACAATAAATATTTCAAATAACTTAGGTGATGAAATAAAAACATACACATATATACACATATTCCAGACATGTTCTCAAAAGTAAAATTTAAATGCAATATGTAAAAGTTATGCCTATCTGTTTCTACAGTTGGAGAGGATTGAAATTATAATTTTCATATAACTAGTAAAGGCAATCAGACCTTTTCTCTGAATATTTTAAACATTGTGCATGTAAAATTTATGCCTAATTTGAATACTTATTAGCTGCCTAATCTCAGAAAAGAGTATTAGCTTTGTTTTTTTCTTATAAAATCCATCACTATGTATCAGTTTTAATTTATATGATTTTTTCTTTGTTAATGTTCAATAAGATGTTTAGCAAAACCTATTTGTTTATAAACACATTTCGCTCAAAAATTGTTTACTATAGTTACAGCAATTATTTCCTTTCTGCTCATGTTTTCTGTTGTTTTTTTATTATCCAAACAGCTTTAAGTTGTATATGTAATTTTTGTTACACTAACTTGCTTTGCTAGTCCAGCTATTGACGTTTTTTACTAAATCAGTATGTCTTTTTTTTTAATGGACTTGATAAGAGTAGGAAAAGTAATTTAATAATTTAGGCTTTGATGAAAATATCTGTTAAAACTATGATACTATAAACATTAATTTTAACAATTTTAATATTGGCATTCAAAAATGTCTTTTGGGTATGTCTGTGATTCTTTTTGTATTTAGTGTTTGTGTGCATCGCATTTTAAAAGATAACTGGGGAAAACATTTTCTCCATGACAGGAAGAGATAGGAAGCTTGCATTTGCTTTATAATAAATGCCTTTCAAAATTTTAAATGGACAAAGCATTAAAATATGATCAAGTTTAAAATATTGAAATCATGTAAAAAACAAATTAGATTGAGTGATAAGTTTACTGTCCTTTAGGGTAAGTCCACTGTCTGGTATTACTGTTAAAGTCACAGCACAGCCAGGTTGTTTCTGCAATTCTGTCCATAGAAGTAAAACAGAGAAGTGCATCCATTAGGTTATGGCACAGGATTCAGAGGTCTTTGAGAGCCAAAAATGATCTTTCTAAACCACAGATTCAGGATGTACTGTGAAATTCTGGTTTGTAAGAGCACATTGGTTCTTTATTTACTGCAAGGATTTCCACTGATCTTGGCAGGACATCTCATTGCTATCCTGAAAGTACAGTATATTTATGCAGTGAAAATGATAAAACATTTATTACTGTAGAGAAGGTAATATGCATAATTTATGCTGTTTTTAGCACAATCATTAGTGATATTCTTGATAGATTTTATTTCCAGCTTTCATATCTTATACATGCCTGGA
This sequence comes from Homo sapiens, assembly GCF_000001405.40. NCBI lineage: Eukaryota > Metazoa > Chordata > Mammalia > Primates > Hominidae > Homo > Homo sapiens. The sequence continues at coordinate 114,425,695 of NC_000007.14, forward strand.
AAATTAATTTTATATCTTTCATTTATTTGCCTATGTTAAAATTGAGTTTTAAGTCATCTTCAAGTGAACAGTTTGATTGCTGCTCATGCATAAGCTTAATTACTTCCCAGGAAGGACAGTATTAAATGTTTTAAATGTCAGAAAAATAAATGAATATGAGCTGTTTGATTAAAAAAATAGGCAATATCTGACGTGTTTGCAGCAGGAGCTTTTTCTTAAAATGCCTCCAAGGCAAAATTTTATTTAGTCACAAAAAAAGAAACCCATTATACTATTTATCATTGGTTGGTACCATATGATTTGTAACACCCTTACAAAATTTTAATTTTGTATGATTAGCTGTGCATCATTAAACAACAGCCTTGCATAAGATGTGCTGTAAAATTCTGACAGAATCAAGATAGTGAATATTTAAAATAAGGCTGTATAGTCATCCATGGTTGTCAAAGGTAGATAATAGGAAACAGAACAGAGTGTGCAATCATGCCTTCATTTAAACTGGTTTTATAGGTAGATTTTAAAATGTGGTCATTCATAAATGCTATTGACCATGCTATATGCATGGTATGTTACTTTGGCTGTTAAATGTAACCGCACAAAAATTGCTTATAGAAACCATAATTTCAATGATTAGCATCTGGATGAAAGCTGAATTTGTATTGCTTTCCTTGGTAAATGACTATTCAAGGCTTTTTTCTTCCCCCTCTTCTAAAGATGCTGTCTCTGTAATTGGCAGAGAGGGACATCTTGATAATGGAAGTGTGAAGGTGTAACGTGTGTTAATTGATACTTCTTAATCACTTTTAGGTATTAAGTCATGATGCAGGAATCTGCGACAGAGACAATAAGCAACAGTTCAATGAATCAAAATGGAATGAGCACTCTAAGCAGCCAATTAGATGCTGGCAGCAGAGATGGAAGATCAAGTGGTGACACCAGCTCTGAAGTAAGCACAGTAGAACTGCTGCATCTGCAACAACAGCAGGTAAGTTTTGTTTTCCTCAGTGCTTCCTTAAAACAAATAAGCTTGTTTTATTGAATATGAAAAATGTATTCATAGCAAACTGAGCATGTTGTGTTAAGCTAAAAGATGCTGAGAATTTATTATTATTTGGAACATGATTGAAGGATGAGTAAAGAGATAAGATTTTCATATTAGTTACGTCATACCAGTACCAGAGTACCCTTCAGGTGTCAGGATATTAATTAAGCTCACAGGATGATTTTTGGAAGGTCTGTAAAGCTTTGTAACAAATATTTTATAGCTTCTAGTTTACTATCTTACATTGTGCTGCAGAACGTGATACTTAGTTTTCCACCAGAGGGCCACATTACTTGATACTTGCTTATACAATGAATTTCTTCAAGTCTGAGCTAAGGTGAAAAGGACCACAAGGACTTTTCAAAAGACAGATGCTTGCCTGCGTTAGCTGCAAATATTAGCTATTAATTAGTTGAAATCTGCTGAGAGATTGTAAATCATGTAAACACTACGATCTGTTGCTTTTCTTGAAATTCATTCCAAGATATTTTGAATATACATCTTTCAATAACATTAAAGAGCACTTTTTGTGTTCTCCTAAGTGTCTCATAAAATGCAATATTCTCTTTAAATCTGGAAATGTTAACAACTACAAAATAAAGGTACACTTTTAAGTAGTCTGTTATTCATTTTATAAGAGATTACTTTTTCCTGATTTTGTAAAAAAAAAAAAAAATTCTTTTCAACCAAAAAATAGCCACTTCATTCTTCACTGACTCAAGTCTGTAGAAACAGTGACAGAGAAAAGAAAGCTTTGAAAGCATATACTTATATTAGGCCAGAATGAGTACACTTGTTTGAAAAGTTTATATTTGTTTTAAAATAAATATTATTTCTTTGTAACTCTGAATTGCACTTAAACTAAATGCCTAAAAATCATTAAAATTACATCCATTAAAATAATGATTATTGAAAAGATTGCAAATTATGTGAAATAATTCACATTTTAAGGTAGTATATAATGAGAAAAATACATCTCAAAAGTTAAAGCAAATGCCCACACTAGAGTAAAATTTAATAGATACATTATTTTAAACAATAACAGCATTAAAAAAGTTACATGGGTTGAATAATGTCTTAACCTTTAGGCATTGTTTTCAAGAATAATCTTTTATAAGAGCTACATAGTACTTTTGAATGGTTTATCTATTATTTTACAATTTTCATTTTTTTCACAGACAATAAGTATTAGAAAAACAATTTATATTTTGTTTTAACAATCATAGGAATTATATGCCTACCACAGTCCCAGGATTAGCTTATTTTACTGGTTACTTTAATAAATACAGTTTTTCAGGATAGCCCTTTTCTGCCTTTGGTGTATTCGCAGGAAATATCACACCAGTGGAATGCTACAATATTCCTCCTAATTTCCCTAAGTGAGAGTCCTAAGTATTTTTAGCCAGATTCAATTTTGCCTGCAAATCCAGTGGATTGCGTTTATAAAGCCAAGTAAAAATAGTAATTGTAAATGAACATCGCAGTTGAGTATCAGTAGATGATAGGTTATGAAAAAATGCCAAGAAATCTTTCTTTATTTTCATAGCTCCAATTGGATGTTAAATAAACAGAAAATGAGTAAAATCATAGCTATAGATTTTAGTACTCTGGAGGCATTTTGATTAGGTCTATAAGGTGTGTTTATAACCTGAGTTTGAAGTTTACTTTGTTCTATGCAGTTCATTATGTAAACCATAAACAAGAGTAAACACAAAAGTTATGCCCTTCAGATGACTGAGAAACTTCAGTCATGTATTGTATGTCTGTAGAGTGCCTTCTAAAAGTGATTTAACACAATGGGTATGGTGGGTGCCTACATAGCTACTTTAGGAAGTGTCTACAGAAATATATGTAATAATTTAATAAATAAACATGCAAAAACCTTTGTAAATATCCCTTCCCTTGGTTATGTTTTAACTATATTAATATAGTTAGGTACCTAAGGTTACTGAATTTTTTGTTCTTTCATGAATGTATTTTAGAATGGGGCTTTAAGTTCATTAAGGATTAACATATCTTTTCTATAAAATTGATGCAGTTATTGCCTTTAATTCTAACATTCGCTATATTTCAAAACTAAAAACCATAAAGCATATTTATTAAAACAAATTTCACAAGAAGTGAAAAAGTGAAATAATTGTATAAATTTATCTCTACGTGTTGTTATTTAGATGTAAAGTTTTACACAAAGAGTTAAATTACTTCTTATAATTATAATGAGCTAATCATTGTTGACCAAGATCTTTTGTTTAGAAATATGATTTAAGAGGCAGTGATGTAAACAAAGTAAAATTTTGTTTGCCGTGAACTTCTGGCAAAAATGGTCTGTTTTGGGAACATAATATTTGTCTTAATTTTTATGGCTTTTGTACTTTATAGAGGTGAGTAGTTTGACTTAAATTAGCCATGTATTTAGCATGAAGAGTTGGTGTTTGGAATGAATCGCATCAAATACTTAATGATACGTGGATAGGTGAAGTGAAAAAGGATTGATAAACTGTAACTAGCATTTATTTCTACCATTTAATTAATGAATATTGGAATATTTCTGAAAGCTAGGATATCTTTAAATTTTAAAGTTTGTGATATAATGGTAGCCACATCTCTGTTAGTATGCTCTGCTATCTTATATTTACTGAACAATTAGTTTAAAAAAAAGCCTTTTCTGGATGAATTTCTCTCTCCTTCATTCCTTTCTAATCTTCAAAAATTAGTACTAAGTAGTAGAATGTATAATATATGGACGTAGCATATTTCAGATGTTGTTTTAGATTAACTACATTGAGAAATTATTCTGCATTAGATGTAGAATTTTATTTTGATATTAGGTTTGCAGAATTAATTGTTTGTGTCACTAAGGTCAAAATAGTTGCTAAAACTTGATTGCTTTACAGGGTGGATTTGAGCTTGCATTTTGAGCATTCATTAAGTCAGATAATCTTTCTGAATGTTTTATGAGACTGTACTGCTTTGAAGGTGTTTCAGGTGATGGTGTTTAAAAACATCTGGTTAGTAGTTTCTTACTGTCAGTTCATTTATCCTTATTCATGTAAAACAGAGTATTTGAATAACCATTTAAAAGCTAGAATCCACACATTTTATTTTCAAATTGAAATTGAGAATAGCGACATTTGTGTCTTAAAAGCATATGACATTTAATAAATAACACCATTATCTGTACTTTTTATAATTTTATTTTGAAATCTTTAACCCTGATAATTTGATCAAGGAAGTGCAAAATCTTTTGAAAGACTGTTTATGTGTAAGGAAATAAATAGCCATGCTAACTCCAGCATTTAAGTCCAGCTGGTCTCATTCTATATTTTCATCTTCTGTTTCTCTGTCCTTATTGAAGTTTTATGTTGACATATGAGTAAATAATAGTTTATAACAGCCACGATAACCTCTCCTATACACATTTTTAAAATGCATAATTTATTTGCTTCCCCCTTAACTTATTTTAACTTCCTATTTGATACGAAAAGTACCGACTTTAGATTAAATTGTTTAAGCAAAAGTTTTAAATGAATTTACAAAGTATAATGAAATTACAAACGCACTTTTCAAATGAAATACCAAGAATGAAAATATGTATCAAAATATTTTCTTTTAGAAATTAATATTTAAAGTCTTACCAAGTGCACCAAAAAGAGAATATATCTTGAACAATTTATTCTCATTGATTGATTATAAATTATTAAACTGTCACATAGGCAAGATTTTAGACATTGTTTGACTAGATGATATGTCAGTTATTACATACATATTTCAGAAGGCACTGGTAAATAGTGGCAAGTTTACAACGATATAGGAAAACTTAACACTCACATCTTCACACATGACCTTTTATCACACTACAATATTAATTGATGATATTTTCCTTTTTTACAACCAAATTCCTGTCTTTGGCATATTGGATTTATTGTTCATTGTACTGTTGTTCAGAAAATTACAATTCCTGTGAAGCTGATCTGTACTATTTTGAACCAGCTGTGAACATGTGCTCAGTCTTTTTGATAACCTAGAAAGAATGTTTCTCTGATGCCAATATTTAATTTTCTCACATAAACTTATACTCGCTTAATCTCAATTGACAAGCATCTACCAAAATACTAGGTGTTTCTAGGTTAAGCACACATAAGATATTTACTTCAATACTCATGTAAAAGATCCACAACAAAATGGTAATAAGCATTTATGTAATTTGTCTCATGAATTGGGTATACTCTCGTTTCTATTAACACTTTTTTCATAGAAATGGATTTTTTAATTTATAAAAAAGGATTTAAATCTATTTACTATGCAGTGTTGTGTATCTACAGTGCATTCTTAAGTTCCATTCACTATAGGTACAAGTGGTAGCATATTCATTGTGCCTGTCTTGCATGAAAGCATTTACTGAAGAAATATGACAAGAACATGTTCAGCTAATGAGGTCGAATGGTTGTTACATTAAATTTAGGCGGTGTTTTCTATTAGGTTTTATTTATCTGTATTTGCATTCAATCCTTTCACATTTGTTATCTCTCGCCCAATTCCAGGGATGGGGCGCCTTTTCTCATTTCACAGCCAATTGTTACTGTGCGCTGACTCTGTAAGTTGCTGGTGAATGTAAAAGTGACTGCAATTAACCTGACTTTGTTGCTTGAGGAGAATTTGAGATGAGAAATCTGACAGCAAATGACAGGCATTTTTCTGGGTTTAGCACAGAAGAAAGTCTAAGTAACATTGCAAAGAGAGGCATTAGGGAGTAGGTACCTGCAAATTAAGTGGCTGACACTGTCTATTGAGAATTTAGATAGTAACGGCTGGAATTTTTATGTTAAGTTCACATTATTTTATATTCATAGCAAGCTTCCTTTTGAGCATTTCCTTTGTGACTGTGCATGATCTCATTTATTGTAATTTGTATTTTTTGGTTGATCAGAAGATGGCTGTAATTGTAATTTTTATTAAAGCACATTCTTAACATGTAAGAATGCATATATTTAGATGAAAACAATTTTATTTTTGAGAATGGATTATGTGAACTTAGATTTTAATATGATAACAGCCTACCCCTAATTCTCAGAGATATAATGTGAAATGGTGGAAAACTTTGAGCAATAATACTCATGGCAGGTGAGTATTTTTTTTAAATAATACAGTTCAATATCAGTATACTTATCTTGTCATTTATTTCTGTTGAACTGAAGGAAAGAAGTCTGACTGTACAGTCATAATTCTGTCTTGCATTAACTGGCTAGCTATGCTTTTAGCAATAGTTATTTTTACTTTCCAAAGCCTGTTGGTTATGTAGTTTGAATTACAATCTTTGCCTTCAAAAGCACACTCTATACAACTACCTCCTGCTAGTAGATAGTACCCACACAGTATGCAACATTTATTGTATTTGTCAGGTGTTTAAGAGGCCATTGGGAGTTTTAATTAATGTCAGTTAGGAAGATACATTGTTCAGTTGGAAGCAGCTTGCCAAGTTCTTCATTTTCCTATAATCCATATAGTCTACTGTCTTTAGGGAAATATGCAAAATTAAAAGTTACACTGCATGCTGTTGTCTTTACAACATTCAGCTCATCAAGCAAAACTCTCATGCAAATTTTAATTTGCCCTTGAGCATAATTTAGAAACCATAATCATTGAGGTTTTACACAGCACAGATAGGAAAAGGAGATTGGATTAATTTACACTCTCTTATTCAAATGACCTCATTACTTTTATGGTACAAACTAAGGTTTTGCAGCTGACTGTATAGGTAAAGTACTGTTAAGGGTTTAAAAAGTAATAATTTTCTAGAATTTATCTTTAAATTACATTTTTTAATATTTGGTTAAAGACATTTCTTTGGAGATCTTTAAATATCCTAAAGTTTATGTATTGATTTAGAAATGGGAAAATGTGGCATCTATTTACATTTATCAAGTTTAACTATTAGGTCTTGGGGCCTTCTATTTACTTGAAGGATCTTTTCATGAATTCTGTTTCAGAGTTAACTTTTTACTGTTTTCAGTAATCCCTAAAGAAGTGTACACTTGGCCTGACATATAGAGTTGTCGTCTACCACATGATGACACTAAAGATATATGATATGACTGACAGTGTAGTTGATGTGCGTTGTCTTCCCTAGACAAAACAGATGGTATTGTTCTATTATCATCCACAGTTATTTTAATGTACTGTGTCCATCTGTGTTAAGATATATTACATGGTTTCATGGAATTTACAGTTCACTCCTGCAGTAACTCGATTTCACTGTTTGGTCTCTAGAGAGTTTGCAAAATGTCAAGCTGTAGCTTGAAAAAGAAAAGTGAAATCTACTGGAAACTAATACTTATGACCATTTCATGCCTGATCTGCTTTGTGGTGTTGTTTAGAAGCTAGGGTGACGTTTATAATACAACAGGTAAAAGAAAAGATTGTTTAATGCATATGAAAAATTGTAACTGCTCTTATTGAGCATTTGTGTCCTAGTCCATTTAAATCCATTCAGTTAATAAAAGTATATCTGGTTCATGTTAGAGACTGAAATGTTTACATTGTTCTGGTGTTCTATTAGTTCAGAAATTAAAATGTGTCTTTTAATTTCATATCAAATAAATAAAATCTAAATTAAATTCTTTTACAAATACTTACCTGCCAAAAATCTAACACTTGCCATAGTCTTTTCCAAAGGAATATTTTTTCTCAAAATTAGTTGAAAAAAAATATTTAGGCTGTTTCTCCAAAGTTGTATCTCAGAAATATTGTTAATATTCTGAATATTTCCATTTCTCAAATATACCATCATTTAAAATATTGATTCACTTCTACAGATGGCCAAATTTTGTATTAGTTTTTATTTATCGTAGTCTTGGAAAATGTTATGAAGATGCAAGTGTACTTATTCTCTAGGTATAAGTGTGCCTTAAAATATTCTCATTGCAAAATTTCAACTAAAGTAGCTAACATTAAAACTACTGTCAAAAATACATATGTGCTTTGACTATGGATATATGTATATATGAGATCCAAGTCAGTTATTTGACAACTAAAAGCAAATAGATTTCATAGTATTAAAACTATTTGATTAAAATTTAAGTGATGATTCCTAGTTAAAAGACTGGCTTACATGAATATTAGTCATTAATTAGAAAATGATTCAGAAAATAGTGATCTGGAGCTAAAGCATATGCTACTAATTTTCTAAATTCATCTGGCAAAAGAGGAGTTAATGTAAAAAAATATAAAGTAATAGGCATGATATGGCTGCAATATATTGAAAAAAAAGTCCTTGGATCTTTGTGTTGAAATGGCTCATAAGAGACCACAAATATACTCATGTTATTACTCAACTTTGATTCAGGGAATGAACCATTATCATATTCAGGCAGTTGTATTCTTTCTCTAGTTTCTCTTTATTCACTCTCAACACTTCAATGTTATCTAGTAGATGTACTTGCTAAATAATTGTTTTTGAATAGCTTTCCAGGAAATCAAAATTTAGCTGATTGTCATTTTGAGTTCAAAATACTAAAAGAAAATGTGTTGCTTTATAAAGAAAAATAAATAAAGAGGTGAATAATTGAGATTAGTGAGAAATCCTTATTTTGGTTCTAGTTAACATAATGCCTAACTCCTAAATTTAGATTGTTTTTTGGGCTCTCATTTTCAATAGTCCATTCATAATTTTAGTATATTTCTGACCTCACGGTTTAATATATATGGGGGGGGGGGATAAGGTACAGCAATTTGGTTGATGTATTATATGTATAAATAATTAATAGTAAATTTAATATTTTTAAAGAAAAACACATGGAGAAACAAGGAATAGATATATAAATACAATTATTGAAAGAACTTTGAGGGTAGGAGTAGTAAAGAAAATTTACGCTAAAAATCTGACCAAATACTGTTGTTTTTCTAATTCTCCTTTTCTTATAGTCGAGCAGCCTGTTTCGTTAAGAAAAAAATTAGGAGGTATAAAACAGCTTTTCAGTAAAAAGCTGTATTCAACTGGTACTGTCAAATTAATACTTTCCATAAATATATATTTTCTGTATTACATGTTTTATTAAAATTTCCTGGAATGTTTTTCTGATGTATGTGCATAATCCTTGGAAATTAATTGTAATTTTATTGATGATAAAATACAAAGGCCATTCTTTCCAATTAACATATACATTTTAAGAAAAATCTTTCGTCTGTCTCTTAAAATTTCACATGGCTCATGGAGAACCCAACCATCCTCCTTGTTATAGCATATCCCAAAATGTCCCACCTTATTGCAAAACTCTGCTCAATAACTGAATCAGCTCTCTCATAATGCTTCCATAACGGAAGTTGCCTTAACTTCAATTGTGAATGTGGAATTTGGAAATTCATATCTGCTTATTCATTAGGTTCAACAACTATAAACCAATCACTTTTCACTATGATTGAAAATAAATGGTTGTTGAAAGCATTTCCCCAGCCTTCAGTACAGAAGATAGTCATGCCATGATAGAGGTAGATGTGCTTTGAGGCCTTGAAGAGGAGGGACAGACTCAGTCTAAATTGTCAAGAAAGGTTTTAGGAAGGGCATTTTAATTGTTCATGAAGAGAGAGGATCAATCGGCAGAAAAAGGGTAGAAAGAATTCTAGGTAGAAGGAAAAGGGTACACAAAGACAGGAAGGTGTAAAAAGTGCAGAATATTGAGGACCATTCAGTGTTTGGATGCACTTCATACAAAGACTATTGGGAGAGTAACTGGGAGATGAGGTTGGAATAGGTAGGCTAGATATAGATCCTGGAGGATCTTGTTTGTTGTGCTCAGAAGTTAGTTTGTTGTTTGTTTGTTTTGAGATGGAGTATTGCTCTTGTTGCCCAAGTTGGAGTGCAATGGCGTGATCTTGGCTCACTGCAACCTCTGCCTCCCAGGTTCAAGAGATCCTCCTGCCTCAGCCTCCCGAATGGCTGGGATTACAGGCACGTACCACCATACCCGGCTAATTTTTTGTATCTTTAGTAGAGACGGGGTTTCACCATGTTGGCCAGGCTTGTCTCGAGCTCCTGACCTCAGGTGATTCGCCCACCTTGGCCTCCCAAAGTTCCGGGATTACAGGCGTGAGCCATTGTGCCCGGCTGTCAGAAGTTTTGACTTTCATTCTGCAGGTGTTAGATAGCCGTTAAAGATTTTTTTTAGTGGAAAATGATGGCAGATTTATATTTTTGAAATACAAATTTACCATAGTTTGGCCTAGGTAGAGGCTGTGAAGAAAAAGAAAAGGAGAAATTAATTCAAGGTGCAAACTCAATAATACGTGTATTTCATGTACTGTGAAGCATTGGGAAAAATTTAAAAAAGCAAGGCTTGGGTTTTGAAAGGTGATTAAAAGAATCAAACTTCTTGAGTTCAATACTAATTATTGGCTATGTAGTCTTGGGCAAATCACTGAACCCAGGATTCATTTTCTTTATGAATTGGAGGTAAAAATAATTAATATAATTATTAATTTATTTTCTTTCTTGACCACCCCCTCTACTGCTATCACTCTTCGTCTTTTGTATCCCTGAGAGTAACATTTATATCTCCTTTGAAGCATCTGTCACAGTTACAATTTCATATTTATGTATGTGATTATTTCATGTGTATTCCCTGCTAGATTGGTGTCTATTCCCCGCTAGACAGTAAGTTTTATGAGGGCAAGGGCCATATCAGTTTTTGCTCAGTATTTTATTTGCTGTCTAGCAAAGTGCCTAAATAAAAATAATTAATGTAATTATTTTAGGAGTAAAATTATTGATATAAAATTCTTAGCAAATTTATTAATTTACTAAATAAGTATTTATTTAATACCTACTGTGTATTAGGCACTTTGCTAGACAGCAAATAAAATACCGAGCAAAAACTGACATGGCCCTTGCCTTCATAAAACTTAACTGTCTAGCAGGAAATGGACACCAATCTAGCAGGGAATAGACAGCAAATAATCACATACATAAATATGAAATTGTAACTGTGACAGATGCTTCAAAGGATATATAAACGTTACTTTGAGAGATACAACAGAGGAAGAGTGATGGTAGTAGAGGGGGTGGTCAAAAAAGGCTGGAGGATTTGAAGAATGAGTAGAAGTTAGCTAGATCAAAGTAAAAGTAGAGAGGGCATTTCCTTACTCTGGCTTATAATAAACATATACCTAAATGGTACCAGATAATGAGAAAATACACATTAATTATTTCGATTAGCTTAGTTTGTAATTTTATTTTCTATATCTTTTTATGGTAGTTTCTACAAATGATCCTCATATTTAGACTGATAATTAGAAGAAATAGTTTTATGAAAACTTATTCATTCTTTATTTACATTGCAGTGTTGTATGATCAGCCTTCAATTTATTGACCTTTTTAATTTAGCATTTGTCTCTCATGTGATTTTTACTGTTTGTGGACTGAGGTATTTTATTGTGGTTGATTTTTAGTATTTATTGACATATGCCACATTGTCAGTGGAAGTGATTTACGTGTGATTTAAGTGTTTCTTTATTTTCATGCACCTTTTCCAAATCTTGTGTTCTTATGAAATGCTAAATATGGCACTAAAATATACCTTTGTAGTTTGTAAGAATCTTTGTTTTATTTAGGCAGCAGGTGTTTCCCAAAGTCTTCCAAGTGTACATGGAGCAGCGCCTTAGATGATCGTTACCTCTTTTTAGTAGTTTGCTATTATCATGGAAATATTACTTTTTTCCTTTATTAAGAAACCACATTTGCAATAACCGATTGCAGTACTTCCGTGAAGTCTTTCTACCAGGCATCTTATGTAATATGGAGATAAGAATAAACCCTGTTTCACAAGACTATTGTGAGGAGTAAGTGAACATTAATAGATTAGTAGAGTGTTACACATGTAAGTGTTCAATAAAATTAACTGTAAGAATTATTACTATTTTTACTAATAATAAAAGGCTTTTTCCTCATATGGTTTTTAATAGTCAAATATGTAAGTATCCCAACCAAACTGGCTGAAGGAAGAGAGAGTACCCTTACCATCTCATTTCATGTCCTTGTAGACCGACCTGTAGAGCACCTGCACAGGCCTGCTCTGGTTGAATCTTCACTACAGACTCAGTCTGTAGGTCTGCTCAGTTCTGCTCAGTTCAGTTCAGTTCAGTTCATGGTTATTAAACACATGAACGTGACTATTCTGAATTGAGACGTGCTTTAAGTGTAAAATACACACTGGATTATGAAGACTTAGTACAAAAGGGAGAATGTAAAATATTTCAATAAATAATGTTTATAACTGATTACATTAAAGTGATATTCTGGAATATATTGGGTTAAATGAAATATATTATTTGAAACCATTTCACCTGTTTTTATTTTTTTTAATTTGTCTATTACAACATTAGAAATTAACTACATGGATCACATTTTATTTCTGCTGGAAATGATTAGTCTACAATCTAGAAGTCCGTGGAGTTAGGTTTGAGGCATTGTAGCTTCATTTGGACCTAGATTAGCTATCTTTTTCTAGTTATGTTTGGTTCTGCCTTAAATTTTATAAACAATCCAACCAAGTCTCAGAAATAGACCCCAATTCAAGTGTTTTGTTAATTCTTCTGTTCTGCAGGTCCCCTATAAAAGAGAAGGGCCTCTTGGAAAGCACTGATACACATCACCCATCAGGTGCATGTTAGCAGGTGTCATAAATTTTAAAGTGTGCTATTCATATGTCTGCTTAATTCACAGAAGAAAACCCATATGCCTATCCTTAAAGTCATATTATCCTATGGAAATATTTATATATTTAAAATATAAATAAAATAACAATAAAAATATATTCATTATAACAACTAGTTTTGAAACAGAGAAATAAGAAGTGAATATATGTGTTTCGTTAGTCAAGATAACATCATTATGTAGAATTTTTCCCATTCATAATTTAATTCATTTCAAAGAGAAATTTGCTGAAGAATAATTTGGAAATTAAAAACTGTGCACAGAAAAAAATAAATGTCTTAAAGTCACAGCTAGAATAAAAAATGAATTTACGTGTTGGTTTCCATAGTTAATCCATATTCCTAATGCCCTTCTATTTTGATTTCAGATGCCCAATATAAAATATAATACTTAACCTCAAACAAACCCATTGTAGCCTAGTCAGTTGCTACCCAATGACTGCCAGAGTATTAGAGTGACAAATATAGCTTGATTTTAAAACACAGAAGTAGATGTTAATGTGATCTGAGAAGACATTGTTAGATTTTTGTTTTTAAAGTTAAAATAGTTGAAGAAGTCTAATGTATGTGAATGTGTAATGATTTCAGTAAATTAATAATTTTAAAAAGACAAAGTACCTTGGTATAAATTAATTTAGTTTATTACTTATGTGTGAGGTCATATAAATTGGAGATCCATTCTCTTGTCATATATTAAATTTTTCTCATTCCAAGATGACCTTGGATAAGGAAATTTGTTTCTCTGGACCTCTGTTTTCAAATGAGTTGGCTGGATTTGAAAATCCTTCCCAACTTCAAAATTCTAAAATTTTATTATTCTATTATGTCGGATATGGATTTGTAGTAGTATTTCAGTCTTATTTTATGAACTTTGGCATGTTAACATAACCTTCCTGAGCCTCTCCGGTTTGTATCTGTAGAGCAGCTAAAGCTTTATATATTTTTGTAATTGGGGGTGCATAAGAATAATCTTCAAATTCAGACATCTCTAGTTGATTAATCATTACTTCAGATTTTTTTGAGGAAAAATACTCTAATGATGTAATCAAATATAAACGTGGTATTATAGCAACAATAAACAGCATTGTGTTAAGTGTAAATTATCTTATTTATTTATTTATTTATTTATTTTATTTTTTTGACCCAGGCTGGATGGAGTGCAGTGGCGTGATCTTAGCTCACTGCTACCTCCACCTCCGGGCTAAAGCCATCATCGCAGATTAGCCTCCTGAGTAGCTAGGACTACAGGTGTGCACCACCACGCCTAGCTCCTAATTTTTTTTGTGTGTATATAGATGTGTGTGTGTGTGTGTATGTGGAGACAGGGTTTTGGCATGTTGCCCAGACTGGTCTTGAACTCCTGAGCTCAAGAGATCTGCCCGCCTTGACCTCCACAAGTGCTGCTGTTACAGACATAAACCACCACACCTGGCCTACATTATCTTAAAATATTATTTTGTAATAGGAGCTTTATAGTTTATCTTTGACAGGAAATGCCCAGTAAAGATGGTTGCTTACATAATAGATCCTCTCACCTCCCAAATCACCAGCATTTGTAGAAACCTATCTTCGAGTAATTCTAATAACAAAAACTCATTCATATGACTTTTAACAGTTATGGAATAATTTTAATACATTAATATAATGGTTAGGACAGCACTGTGAGGTAGGCAGCTCTTATTATGATCCCCATTTTATAGATTATAGTATTGAGACTCAAAGATTAAACCATCTGTTCAAAGTCACATAGCTAGTAAGACAGACTCAAGCTTCTGACACTAAATCCTATACCCTTTTAAAGACAGTACATTTCCATCATATTGTTTCATAGGCAAAGTTCATAGTTACTTAAATAATTAAAACATGTAATTATTTCTGATGAATATAGTCAATAAAATTCCACTGCTATAATTCAAATATATCCCCCTTTTTGGGCTACTATAATGTATGAGTGAAAACTTCAGATCTCATTCATGTAGCCAGTCATTTCACTTATTTCTATTTTTCACCTCATATTATGGAAATGACTTGTTCCTGAAGTCGTTATATTATCACTAATTTATTTGAAAGCCTTAAAGTTATTGGCATATAGTGTTAGATATTTTGTATGATGGAGTGTGTTCTGAGATCAGAAAATGACCCTCTTCAATAAAACTAATTCAGAAATATCCATAGAACAATCTAAATTGTTATATTTATTTAAATTTGATTTTTCTTCATGTGACTTAAGTAATCCATTGGCTGAAATTTGGTAGTATTTAGTTCAGAAAACTCTGCTTATAAAATTTAGTAACTTTGCCATATATCATCCATGGCTATTCTACAGAGACTAAGCTTGATCCTACTGTACATCAGTACTACTTGTGATAACAAATAACAATAACAATCACAATGATAATTTATCAAAATTACCTGTTGTCAGAAGTGAGCAGGAATAGAACCAAAAAAAGAAGAGAAGGAAAAGAAAAGAAACATGGAATGGATGAAGAAATTTCTATTTTGATCCATAATAATCTTAGAAATTCTTAGAAAATGTAACCTTTGCTATTGAAATATGGCACAGCAAGATGCACAGGCTTGGGCAGATTACTGCCTAAAAATATCATATATAATTTTATTGACTCTAACTCCAATAAATGTCCTGTTTTTTATCCATGTGTACATAAGTAATAAAACTAGTCACTGTAATGGTTACAATGATGATCAAATAAAAAATCGGAATGTTCGGCTGGGTGTGGTGGCTCACAGCTGTAATCCCAGCACTTTGGGAGGCTGAGGCGGGTGGATCACCTGAGATCAAGAGTTCAAGACCAGCCTGGCCAACATGGTGAAACCTCGTCTCTACTAAAAATACAAAAAAAAATTAGCTGGGCCTGGTGGTGCATGCCTGTAGTCCCAGCTACTTGGGGAGGCTGAGGCAGCAGAATCGCTTGAACACAAGAGGCGGAGGTTGCAATAAGCCAAGATCACATCACTGCACTGCAGCCTGGGTGACAGAGGGAGACTCCATCTCAAAAAAAAAAATTGGAGTGGAATGTCCACTCATTTCTTAGTTCACAAATCGTCAATGATTTTAAATAAATAATCACAGCTTTAAATACAATAGCAGCCTTCAGTTTATTCATTTTATATTCAGCTCCTTGGAATATATTCTATTCAAATAAGCAATTTCTCTAAAATTTGTGATAATACAGAATTATATAAAGAGCACTTACAACTCACTATTGAGACAACCCAATTTAAAATAAGCCAAGTATTTGAATGGATATTTTACCAAAGAAGATATATGAATGGGCAAGAGGCATGTAAATGAAAAACTGTTCCACTTCATTAGTCATTAGGGACATGTAAATTAATACCACACTGAGATACTACTTTATACTTACAAGAATAGCTACAGTAAAAAAAGACAGGCAATAACAAGTGTTGACAAGAACATGGAGAAACAGGAACTCTCATTAGTTTTAGTGGGATGTAAAATGGTGCAACCACTTTAGAAAATAGTTTGGCTGTATCTTAACAATTAAGCCTCCACTATGTTACTCAGTAATTATAATCCTATGTATCTATGCAAGAGGAATGGAAACACTTATTTACATATATTTATAAAGGATATATAGCAGCATTACTTATAATAGCAAAAAACTGGAAATACCACAAATGTACATTAATTGGTGAACAGGTATTACAAAACAAATATTATTCAGGAATAAAAAGGAATGAAGCACTGATATATGCCACAATATACATGAACTTTAAAAACATTTTGCTAAGTGAGCCCAGCCAGATATTTTATAATTCTATTTGTATGAAGCTTTCAGAAAAGGCAAACTGATGTAAACAGAAAGATTAGTGGTTACCTGGGGCCGGAGGTAAGAAGGAGCAGTATCTGCAAACGGGCAAGAGGGATTTTTTTTTTTTTTTGAGTGATGGAAAATGTTCTAAAATTGGACTGCAGTAATGATTGCACAACTCTGTAAATTTACTTAAAACACTGAATTGTACATTGAAAATGGGTGAATTCTGTTTTTAAGACAGGGAGAGTCTCACTCCTGTTGCCCAGGCTGGAGATCAGAGGTGCAATCATAGCTCACTGCAGCCTCAATTTCCTGGGCTCAGGTGATTCTCCCACCTCAGCCTCCTGAGTAGCTGGGACTACAGGCACATGCCATCATGCCTGGCTATCATATTTTTAGTAGAGATGGGGTTTCACCGTGTTGCTGAGGTTGGCCTCAAACTCCTGGGCTCAAGTGATCCACCTGTCTGGACCTCTGGACCTCCCGAGTTGTTGTGATTACAGACGTCAGCAGCCATGTCCAGCCAAAGCGGGTGAATTTTATGGTATGTAAGTTGTACCTCAATACAGCTGTTTATATAAAGAGAGAGAGGCCAAAAAAATGGTGACATAATTCCATTGTATTTTTTAATGTCATCCAGATCAAAGATAGAATTGACACTTCTTTGCATGCAGCAAGTGGCAATCTATGTGAGTGAGTTAAAACAGAGTAAGAGGAAACTCCAATTCCAAGTGTAAAGGATTATTCCAAGTAAGAATATCAGAAGAGCAAAGAACTGCCTTTATGGTAGTCCTTTGGCTTCAACCCACAGTTCATACCCACATCCTTATGGTAGGTCAGATGATGAAATGCACATTGTGTGATCATTAAAGGACATATGCTCTCCTGTGCCCTGAAACTTTTCAAAATGTTTTCAAATAAATCAGGCATTTTATGTGCAAACACTCAGTATATAACATATGTACTGTCTCTACAATATTTAAAGATAACTCTTACAGATCTGTACTAATAAAATAGTAAAGAATAAAATTAATTTTGTCTCACGTTATGCATTCTTTAATTTTAAAAAAGAATACAAAAAAGGCACATGCGATTTATTCTATTAGTCCTGACATATCTTGACTTTGATACAAATATGCATCTCTTCTCACTTGTACTGACA
Source organism: Homo sapiens (assembly GCF_000001405.40). NCBI lineage: Eukaryota > Metazoa > Chordata > Mammalia > Primates > Hominidae > Homo > Homo sapiens. Next base: position 114,443,399 of record NC_000007.14, read on the forward strand.
ATCACTTCCTTTTCTGAACAGTTTTTTTTTAAAGTTTTATTTTAGGTTCAGGGGTACATGTGCAGGTTTGTTATATGGGTAAATTGTGTGTCACGGCGTTTTAGTGTACCGATTATTTCATCACCTGGCTAATAAGCATAGTACCCTATAGATAGTTTTTTAGTTCTCAGCCTTCTCCCACCCTCTATCTCAAGTAGGCCTGGTGTCTGTTGTTCCCAACTTTGTCCATATGTACTCAGTGTTTAGCTCCCACTTATAAGTGAGAACATGCAGTATTTGGTTTCCTGTTTCTCTGTTAGTTTACATACGATAATGGCCTCCAGTTCCACCCATGTTGCTGCAGAGGACATGATCTCACTCTTTTTAAGGCTGCATAGTATGCCATTGTGTGTATGTACCACATTTTCTTTTTCCATTTTACTGTTGATGGGCATTTAGGTTGATTCCATGTCTTTGCTATTCTGAATGGTGCTGAGATGAATATATGCATGCATGTTTCTTTATGGCAGAATGATTTATATTCCTCTGGGTATATACCCAATAATGGTATTGCTGGATCAAATGGCAATTCTATTTTAAGTTCTTTGAGAAATTGCCAAACTGCTTTCCACAATGGCTGAACTAATTTACATTGCCACCATACATTTTTTACTCACGTTTTAAATCCTAAGCTAGAATGTAAGATGTTTGAGGCCAATGCTAAAACATATGTCATCTGCCTTTGTATCCTCAAAAGAACCTAGTGTCACTATAAATGCAAGTGATTAGTGATCACTGTATGTATAATAGATGCCGAATTATGTCAAATAAACATGAGAAGTTATCTGTGCCTTACTCTTGACTCTCGGTTTCCACAGTCCTTTTTGAAATCTCACCAAGACACAGACAAAGGCTGAAAAACATAGGACACTTAATCTGCATGTGGATTTTAAGGGCTGGCTGAACATGGAATGACATTCAGAAGTACTGTGTCAAGTTGAGCTTCTCAAGTTCTTGAAATCACCACAAGTGATTTCCACAACCACAAGTGTGGTGGTGATTTTTATAGCACTTGGTTGTAAAGCCTCACTCTTAGTTTTCTGCTAAGCCATGTTAGTAATACTTCGTCCTCAAGATTGGACTTATCCTTTCTTTCTCACTAGTACAGCTTTATTAATTGGTATATGAATTGTTTTCCAAAAGAATTACTGTTTTTATGCCATTGTGCAAGTACTGACTTCTCTATGATGCATTAAATTATACTAACAGCATGTATAAGTCCTAGACTGAGAACAAGGACTCAAAAATATTTATATAATGTTTATTTTAAGATTGATGACTGTATATTTCAAATTCTGTATAACAGTTTTAAAATCAGGAAAATAGATATTTAATTAATTTGTTCTATATAGTTAATATGTACTGCATGATTACAGTTAACATTTTAAAAGTTCAAAGAACAAAGAATGGGAAAACTCTTAATAGTGGTTATGTCTGGGTAACCAAGCTAGGGGTAACTTTTTCTTGTTCTACATTTTTTAGTTTCTACAGTTATCATGCATTCTTTATTTTGGAGAAAATTACACATAATTTAAAGAAGAAAATAGTGTGTTCCTCTGGAAGCCCAATTAGCACATGGAAAATAAAGTTTCCATTTTTTTAGAGCCAGTGGCTTTTTTTTTTCTATTCAACTATTTTGACTCTTTTACCTTGCTCAAAACTGTAAGAATTGCTAAACTTCATACCTCGTACATTTCTATAGCTGCTAAAATCCCACCAATGGCATCTTTGGGGATCAGATACTATTTATCTGACACTGCTGTACTTTGGATTATCTGTGTACTTGTTAACTAAGGCAAGCCCTTGTCATTTCTTAGAACTATTTGAAGAACTGAAGAAGCTTATTAAGAAAATGAGTTTGTGCCTTTTTATTCCCTGTAAATAACAAGAGATTTGCTGTAGGTGTCAAGCCTTAAAAGTGTTATGGTGACCCTTTGCTAAACAAGACATAAATTGGCCCTCAACAGTATGTAACTTAGGATCAACTCCAACTTTACAATTCATTTCCTTTTATGTCTGTTTTTAGTGTGTTGTGTTTCTAAGTGAGTCCAAATTTGGATTTTATTTAAAATCAAAGATTGTAGAATAAAAAGCTGAGCAGCTGCAAAGCTGAAACTGTGCTTCATATCCTACTTTGTGGGATACCAACTAGTTTTCAACTATGTACATGGTCTTCTAAAATGAAAGAAAAATTGCAGATTATGCAGACTGGGATTAAGTATCAAAATTAGCCCCATTTTAATAATGTGAAAACAATATACACAGTTTCTAATTTAAGCTTTATTTTATACAAGATCATACAAAATTATAATATTTAATAGTATAATCCTATTCTTCTACATATGTATTGATGTATATAGTAATTCTCAAATAGTTTAAGAAATTACCTTCAGATAACACATCTGATTTAATTAAGTGCATGATACTCTATCAAGATGTTAAAGAAGGCTTCTCATTCTACTTTAATGAGCAGTGGTCCCATTCAGTTGTAGAGAACTATGTGTGTGACAATGTAATAGCCAATCTGGTACTGTAATTAGAAATTCACCTTCATTCTGACTCATATAATATACTGAATTAATTAGTCTGTAATATGATTAACTAGTTTTTTTGCTTTTTAATATTAAAAAGATATCATAAGTCTGATATTTTTAGAGCACTTTTAACATCATTTTAAAATGTGTAGATTTTTGTCATAAGCATTTTTATTCCCATTTCTTCAGATGATGTCAAAGAAGTTTTATAGGCTTTGATAATTTAATTACAATTCTAAAGTCCCTGCAAAGCAAGTTTAGGAATGTCGTTATATCATCAAGTTATTTAGTAACATTCATATTTGCCTCTGAGTTACTTCTTATAATTATACTACCATAATTAATTATACTATATATTTTATCATTCATTCATTCATCAAACATTTATTGAGGATCTAGTAAGTTTCTGACACTATTCAGAAACTTATGTATAGAGAGTAAATAAAACAGCCAAAATTAATACCTCCACTCTTGGAGCTAATAATCTATTAATATAAAATATGTGAAAATGAGTCTTGTTAACACAATGGGTAATGTAAACAGTAAAACTGAGATCATACTTTTTTAAAAAGCTGATTTATATATAATCATTCTTTATATACTCTTTAAATATACCAATATTATAGCTCTAAGAGAATTTTAAAACCCACCTCCCATTAAAAGATATGCCAGTAAACCCATCAATGCAAAATAAAAATTGCATTAACAACAGTGTTCTAATTTAATAATTTCATATCCCCCGCAATGTTTTTGGTTTATCTCTATTTCTTTCTTTCTTTTTTTTTTTTTTTGAGACAGAGTCTCATTCTGTAGCTCAGGCTGGAGTGCATGCAGTGGGGTGATCTCAGCTCACTGCAGCCTCCACCTCCTGGGTTCAAGTGATTCTCTTGTCTCAGCCTCCCAAGTAGCTGGGATTACAGGCACATGCCAACACACCTGGCTAATTTTTGTTTTTTTTAGTAGAGACAGGGTTTCACCATGTTGGCCAGGCTGATCTCGAACTCCTGGCCTCAAGCAATCCACTCACTTCGGCCTCCCAAAGTGCTGGGACTACAAGCATGAGCCATGGCACCTGGCCTCCTATCTTTTTAAGTGGCACTTTAGTCTACTCCACAAATGAAGAAAGCAAGCTAGGATTCTTGTCTCCTTTCACTCCCTCAATCCCCATATTCAATCTATTACCAATCATTTTCAATTCTACCTCCTAAATATCTTTTGATTTTGCTGCTTCCCACTGTCCGAATTGCCGTCACCAGTTTGACATCTCTCTCTTATCTAATAACATCAATAGCCTCTCCTGTCTGGTTTCCCCTCTATAGCCAGATGATCTTTATGAAATCCAAATTTGGGCATGTCATGTCCCTATTTTTCTGGGTAAGCACCCAGAAGATACTTCGCACCCTTCGATACTTATAAAGGCCACTGTGCCTAGCAAGGCTTATAGAGTTTCCCATGACTGGGCCACTCCTAAGCTACCTCTCCTGCCTCATTTCTCCCTTATCTTGTCCCATTCTCTTGCTGCTGCAGCCAAATTGAACCTTTTTCTGCAATTCCAGTTAGCCAAATTCTCTCTTTCTCTCTTATCTCCCTTAGATCTCCTAACAAGCTGTTTTCTTCCTGGATCACAAGTACCCCACGCTAACATTTTACTCCTATCTCCCAGCTCCCTAACCCTCACTCTTCATACGTGGAATTCCTATTCATATTTTGAATCTGAGATTTAAAGTCATTTCGGGGAGTCTCTATCTACCTACCCCCGACCCATACACAAATGCATACCCATCTTGGGTAGATTCCTTTTATAACATTCAGAACATGCAATTATTTGTTTCACATTCATTTACTCTGGGAAGGACCATTTTTCCAAGTTCTATTTCAGAGTTTTGAATATGGTAGATGCAGAATAAATTTTGTTGAATGCAAATGAATGAATGCATCTGAGAGCTGGAATGAAACATTTCAGAGTGATTTCTAGCAGATGAAAAAAAAGTTTAAGATAGGTTAACCTTCATAAATTGTTCCTTAAAAATGTATTTAATCTGTTCACTGTCACTTATAGATTGAGTATAAAATAAATTTTAAGTGGCCAAGTTCATTGCAACGTCCATATAGTATGTTTTGAACTTGGAGGGGGAAATGCCTTTAAAACCCATTATTGGTAATTTTATGATTTGTATTTTAGTTGTAATTGTTGTGGCATGGTATAAATAGCTGAGAAACGCAGTCTCTAGCAAATGGAATAGTTAAGAGTGTAAAGAAAATCAAAATTTGATTTTTTATAATAACTACTGATATTAATAAAATCCAAATGGATTTCTTGCAAATCTGGTAAATAAAGATGGGTTTTGAAGCTTAGACTTTATATCTCCTTTGATTCATGAGCTAATTTTCAAAGCTGAGTTATAAGCTTTAGTTTATATTGTACCTGGGGCGCAGGCAGACTCATACAATAGCTGTACTTCAAGTGTCACCATAATATAGTAAATGTAATAAAGTTACATTTAAATAATGTAAGAAATCTAATTTAAACAGGGAAAAATGAAATTTAAAGTTAAGTTAATGCCTTTTTCTATTCCTGATGTTGTCCTTTCCTGCTACACCCATAGTGGTGCCGCTAGCCTTTTCATGTTAATATTTGGTAGTACAGCTATAGAGAAATATACAATTACTTAGCCATTCCACTTTCTAGATAAGAAATGGCCATTTGACAAGCAGCTTTACACACAGTGCCATATTCATAGTTTGTGAGGGTAAACTCGGTATTTAATTAGTACCACAAACCTTCCTGCCATTTTCTTATAATTGCAATTTTATTTTTTGAGGTGAATTTAGAAAGTTAAAAGTTTTATTTTATAGTACAGTGATTAGATTGTTAAACTTCTTTCAGAAACAGAGCAGGATAAAATTGTGTATGCTGTGAAAAAACTGGAATGGAACATTTTTGGTGAATATTTACTGAAATATTAGAAAACTACAGGGAAAATATTACAAATTGCATATTTTAGCCATTATCTGCAAGCATTTTAATAGTAGTAGTATGCTTTCTTTTCAACTTTGATGCCCCAGTTTCCTCATCTCCAAAATGTAAATAATAATAGTATTGTCCCCACAGCATTGTTGTGAGAACTAAATGAGTTATAATGTAGAACAATGACACATTTAGAACTATATATATGTGTTTGCTATCATTATTATTTTGTTCACATTATTTAAAAAATATATTTTAGGAATTTAAATATATGTAAGTAAAGTTTCTTTAAGTAGATAGAGGATCTAAAAATATCAAGGTTAAGTATGGCTTATATTTGTGCAAGTATTGTTTTATAAAAAAACTAAAATGTATAAAATGTTGTATTCATATATTTTTAAATTGAAAATACAAATAATGCTTTATTTCCATAAATGCCAACTTTTACTTCACAATTATATTTAAATGTAAATAATCAGTGTAATGCACACTTGTACATATCCCACTCTCCCTGCCCCCAAAACACGGTTCCCATTAAGACCGTTTTTTTCTGCAAAGTAGATGAGTTTTGGTCCTAAAAGTACTAGAAACTGTATGTATCTGACAGATGGATGGGTCATTCTGTGAACCTGAGCCACTGTTCAGCCTTCATTTATCATCACTAACCTCTCTTTGAATAGAATCTTGAATACTCACCAGTATTCCAGCATAGAATGCATAGTTTTAGTCCCTACTTTGCCAATGATATAAGTAATTCACTTCAGCTACCTAGGTTTAATTGGTTATAACCTCAATCCGTATAATTTTACCTGTATTCAAAAGTGTTATATACCTTTGAAATTGCTATATGCATATCTACCTGTATTCCATTAAGTCTGAAATAAGTAAACCTAGATTAACAGAAATGATTTATGTTGCAAAAATTTACTTTACAAATGAATCCATATAAATGTCATTATTATTCTATTAAGAAGGCCTTCCTATTATTAAAAATACAGTTCACTTTATAATCATACATATACATGACATCCAGGTATGCATTTATGTACTAAATTGCAAATTAATATAAAATTAAATATATGAAAAAGTATTCTGCCTGATTCCAGATTCTAGATTTTTAGCTAATTGCAGATGTTCAGATTTTCCATTAAATTATTCATTTGCAAATATCAGTAAGTTTTGTAAGCAAACACTAGCTTTGAAACTCAATGCCATTATGTTGATATGATTTCTGCAGGTTTTCTGATACACTTAACCAAAAACATATGTCCTTCCTCTATGCATACTTTTATTCAAAACATTAAAATGGGCTTGGCTTACTCAGGGAAGGTATAAGATGCCTGATGTGGAGGATTTGTTCTTTAGGCATATGAAAATTGCATTTGTGTTGGAGACAGGCTAGGAAAGTGATGAACTTAATCAGGCCTGCCACATTAGTATGACAAGTTTTTTGGATTTTAAAATGAATAAGAACAGATCAGAATTCAAATATATAGCTTGAGGGAAAGGTGTAAAATTTGTTGAAATATGAGTATATAATTTCTTCTATTTCTACTCAAGCAGCATTGTGGTATTCTTTAGAAATTTTTTATTAATCTCTAAAAATGACAGGTGTCAGGGGTCTTTTGTGATGCACATTCAGAAAAGTTTCGGTCAAGAGGTCATACCGCTGTGATGTGTTAGTCAGTAGCCCTGTCTCCTGTGGAATTTGCCTTGTTTGAAGTGTTTCCAAAGCAAAATATTTTCTGTAATGCACATCAGTTAAATAATGTGTTTGGGAACAGCTTTACATGGAATAAAAGGCTATGAGATTTCTTTATGATTAAAAAAACAACCACTGCTCCTTTTAAATACAATGAAACCCCTGGAAGTACATAGAGGGATGCATATTTTTAAAAGAACAAAATATTCAGGAATCATATTAAATAATTAAAATGTATATTTATGACTTTTTGAACTTAATGTCTCTGTTCATGTAAAACACAAGTTGGTTTAATTTTTTAAAGATACACGTATAATTTTGATACAAAGATATTTTTAAATGAGAAAAGCTTACTCTTAAAACAATGTTATTTCTTAAAATGCTTTGAAATAATATCTGATAAAAGGTTTCAGGATTTGTTTTATAATCATCAACTAATGTTTTTTATAGTGTACATATTGAGAGTAAATAAAATTGGAAAACATTAATAATCAAAAATTACCTATTTTCCCAGCAGAACCTGGGAAGCATTTTAATGCTTGTTCTTTCAAGTGATAATGTGCTGTCAGGGAAATAACAGACTCTTGAAATGGCCTCTTGACACATGTATATTTTCATGAAATTCTAGATCTAGAAAGGCGGTAGGATAGAGAGCAAATATATTGGTGTTAAAGTGCACATATTTCGGTGTGAATTTTGCTTTAACCAATCATCAGCTGTTGACCTTGGGCTAGTAACTTATCTTCTCTAATCCTCAAATTATTGTTTGATGAAATGAGGATCATACTGTCTACTCCATGTGGATGGGGGAATTAAACAACTATAAATGTCTGATACTTCCTGGGGCACACACACTCATTAAATGATTATAGTTTGTTCTTGTCCTTATCAGAAAGAAAGTAAGTCCCTCCGTCTCATCCTTCCTTCACTTATTCATTCATTTTACTTGGCCTTAGTATATTGGACTATATGAAAATATAGTGCTTGCCCGCTTTGAGCTTACAACTCAGTGATGGAGAAAGTACATCATTTACCTAGCACAGTATTTGGCTTATGGTAGCTGCTTAATACATAAAAGTAAATAGTAAGTAATTACAAGTTGTAATAAGTGCTCTACAGAAAAATAATAAGATGTTATGAGAAAGGACTGCAGAGAGCACCAGATTGAGAAAGTGACAATTAAGCTAAGATAGAAGGATGATTAAGAGCTAGCCAGGAGCAAAATTGTAGAAGGGTTGTATTTGAGTGATGACAGCTGTTAGATGACAACTAATTTTTTATGCCGAATAATACATTGAAATGTAATTGTTAGTATTCTGTTCTCCATATTTCTCTTCTATAAGCTGAAATTGGAATTCCTTAAACTTTCTTATTTTTCTTTTCTAACCCCATAGATCAGACACATATTTGTCTTGATATTTGGTATTCTCTCTATATATTCAAAAATCATAGGTAAATTTGTAGTACCATATTCTCATATTTACATATAGGTCAAATCATTTTTCTTTCTTCCTGGCAGTGAGCCTTTGTGATATGTTCTTACTTTTCCATTTTTCCTTAAATGCGATATTAACAATATCTCAATTGAACTTATTCCTTCAGACACCACCCTATAAATCTCTTCAGATTGACAGTGAGCCACTGGTTCAAGTAAGTGACACACTGGATTAGCCATGTGCAACTTAAAAAAAAATCTTATTGGTAATACAATCAGATAAAGTTGAATAGAAGGACTTAAGCACTTCTGAATATATTGTGTGTTCTGACTCCAGGACATTTGTAAATGCTATTTCTGTCATAGACAAATGTTATATAGGTGTGCTTCAAAAAATGCATGAGTACAGCTCATGATACCTTTTTAGAGGTTTGAAAATTGATTGATTAGTGTGATGTATTCCAGACTTCCATATAAAAGCTAAGCTGACTTTCACATTTGCAGTGGTGTCTCTTTAAGATGATCAGTTAAATCTTAGATAAAGTCTGCTTTCTGGTCTTTCACAGTGAAGGCATTTCGCCTCTCTCAAATTTTTGAAAAGTATAGTTGATAGCAGTGGTGTGCAGCATCAAGATGTTATTTAAGTACTCAACAATGTGTGTCATCTTGCTGATATGAATATACTGAATATGGGGAGCTTTTAAGAGTAATCCTTAATCAGTTCATTTGGCATTCTTGTTTGGTTTTCTGCTTTTTCATCATTGATAGCTGTCATGTTAGTTTTCAGATGATCTTTTTGTAATGACTTAAGTAAGAGCCTTTGTCTTCTTTGCAAGTCTAAGAGACTTATGTTAACTGCCTTCTCTTAGTGTTTGAGCTAATTAAACTGTTTAATAACAAATCACTTTAAAAATACTTGTCTATTTGTTAAAAATAAATATTGAGCTTCTGTTATCTTCAAAACTCTCTGATATAGTTCCAGAAACGAAAAACTGAGTCCATATTTGTTTGGGAAATTTGAAGTCTGGTAAGGTAGAAAACACATCAGGGATGTGAACTGTGACTAATATGAAGGAAACAACAGTTTTGAATGTGAAATGATATTGGAGAACATCTATTCCAATTTCCTGTAAATTGCATATAAATTAAGAGATTTCCTATTTGTCAAAAACTAGTCAGTAACTGAAGAGATGGGAGAACCAGGGTCCCTTACGTTAGAAACAGGAATTAGGTTTAGTTGTTGACTGAGGGGTTAAGCTGCATTTAAGTCCTTTGATTTTTTTTTGTTTACTATCAGTACAATGTGGATACTATCTCTTCTCTGACACATAATCTGGTACATTGTAGGTGTTTCCATAACTGTTTTCTATTCCATCACATTGCCACCTTCTCTCCAAAAGCAAAATGATATAAAACAGTTTATTTGTATATTCCTTCAGCAAACATTGACTGAGGACCTTCTTGGTGGCAAGACATGTGCCAGGGATTAAAATTTAAGTAAGAAAGATTCTCTCAGTTGGTCTTACTTCCTGGACCAAGAGATACATTGACAACTAGTAAGTCTCTTGTCCTTGCTTTCTTTGGCAGCATTTGTCCCCGATTCTCATTCTGCCTCTCTATTCTTGGTCTTTTTGTGGGAATCTGTTTCTATATCTCCCTTAAATAAACCTGAGAAAAACAAGCAATGGGGAAAGGATTCCCTATTTAATAAATGGTGCTGGGAAAACTGGCTAGCCATATGTAGGAAACTGAAACTGGATCCCTTCCTTACACCTTATACAAAAATCAATTCAAGATGGATTAAAGATTTAAACATTAGACCTAAAACCATAAAAACCCTAGAAGAAAACCTAGGCATTACCATTCAGGACATAGGCATGGGCAAGGACTTCATGTCCAAAACACCAAAAGCAATGGCAACACAAGACAAAATTGACAAATGGGATCTAATTAAACTAAAGAGCTTCTGCACAGCAAAAGAAACTACCATCAGAGTGAACAGGCAACCTACAAAATGGGAGAAAATTTTCGCAACCTACTCATCTGACAAAGGGCTAATATCCAGAATCTACAATGAACTCAAACAAATTTACAAGAAAAAAACAAACAACCCCATCAAAAAGTGGGTGAAGGACATGAACAGACACTTCTCAAAAGAAGACATCTATGCAGCCAAAAAACACATGAAAAAATGCTCATCATCACTGGCCATCAGAGAAATGCAAATCAAAACCACTGTGAGATACCATCTCACACCAGTTAGAATGGCGATCATTAAAAAGTCAGGAAACAACAGGTGCTGGAGAGGATGTGGAGAAATAGGAACACTTTTACACTGTTGATGGGTCTGTAAACTAGTTCAACCATTGTGGAAGTCAGTGTGGCGATTCCTCAGGGATCTAGAACTAGAAATACCATTTGACCCAGCCATCCCATTACTGGGTATATACCCAAAGGACTATAAATCATGCTGTTATAAAGACACATGCACACGTATGTTTATTGCGGCATTATTCACAATAGCAAAGACTTGGAACCAACCCAAATGTCCAACAATGATAGACTGGATTAAGAAAATGTGGCACATATACACCATGGAATACTATGCAGCCATAAAAAATGATGAGTTCATGTCCTTTGTAGGGACATGGATAAAATTGGAAATCATCATTCTCAGTAAACTATCACAAGAACAAAAAACCAAACACCACATATTCTCACTCATAGGTGGGAATTGAACAATGAGATCACATGGACACAGGAAGGGGAATATCACACTCTGGGGACTGTGGTGGGGTGGGGGGAGGGGGGAGGGATAGCATTGGGAGATATACCTAATGCTAGATGACGAGTTAGTGGGTGCAGCGCACCAGCATGGCACATGTATACATATGTAACTAACCTGCACAATGTGCACATGTACCCTAAAACTTAAAGTATAATAAAAAAAAAAGAAAAAAAAATCTTGATGTTTCCCTAATCCTACTTTTTTGCCAGCTATTCTTCTCATTCCATAGTGTATCTCTGACCTTTCCCCTGAGTTTCAAATGTATGCATATTCAATGTCCAATAAATATTTCACTAAGATATTCCTTAAGAATTTTAAGCTATCTGAACCCCAAACTGCATTTAAAACTTTTCCTAACCCAAATTCTTTAGCTCAATTTATAGCAAAAACATCCATTTAACTAATGAAGCCAACTGTTGGTCATCCTTCCACTCCACCCTCTGTATTTACCAGTCATAAATGCTAAGTCTTTTTCCTAACCATATCTAGAACCATTTGCCATTGTGTATATTGTGTAATGCACAAAGACAACCTTATTGCCTCTGGAAGTATAGATGTGGTTTACTAATGATTTTCAGGCACTGTTGGTGAAGTGTGTTGTACATATAAAACCAGTAAAAAATAGAGTTTTCCAGCAGAAGAAAGTAAATCATCTCATGGAAGCACCTGTTGGACTTTGGGGAAAGTAACAGCATATGGATAATCTTCAGCTCTGTTACCCTCCTCTCTATATCCCCTACAACTTGCTATAGAAGTAGTTAAGGTACATCTCTTAATCAAACTATTAGTCTTATAGTTAACTGTCTCCTTGTCCTTACTTTTAATACCAGCCTACTTCCTTACACACAATTAATTTCCCACATTGCTTCAGAGTGATTCACGTAAAATGAATCTGACCCTACCGCTTTTTCTCTTAAAAGCTCCCTAACAGTTTCTCATTGTTTAGTATACATCCAGAATCCTTCCCACAGTACAGAAGACCCCCTGTGATCTTAATATCTGCCTGTCTGTCCTGCCTCACCATGCTACCTTGAATTGTGTGTTTTATTGATACAGGCAATGTATTTTTTTGCATATAGCACACCATTTTGTGTTCTGCCCATGTTCTGCTTTATGCCTAAAATGCCCATCTCACTAACTTAGTCATCCTTCAATGCACCAAGATCCAAATCAGCTTTCCCTGAAAGCCCCTCCCCTCACTCTCATCCTCATTCCCACTAGTTATGTCATTTATTCCAAGGATATACTAAATGTATCTTTGTCATTGCACCTACCACTTTTACTGAAATTATCTCTTCATCCATCTTTAACTCACTAGAATGTGGGAGGTTTGAGGAAGGAATGGGAGAAGGGGTTAGGTCAAACATGATAAAACTGGAAAAGGGAAGATAATGCTAGATCACAGAGAAGTTTGAATGCCATGCTCTAGAGCCCTGCGGTGTAATCAAATCTGCAGTTTTTAAAACAGTAACCCAGGTACAGTAAAACACTGAGAAAACCATGGTTACTATAACTAGGCTGACTCTTGTTTAAAACTCTACTCTGACCCTTAGTAGTTTTACCTTGGGTCTTTTGCAACAAAACTTTTTCAACTGTAGTTTTCTTAGTTTTCAAATGGTGGTAAATAGTATTTGTCCCCAAGAATTATGAGATTAAACAAGATAAAGTATAGAAAGTGGGTGTCTTGGATTTAACACATTGCAGATTTTCAATACACATTTAAAAACATTTCTATTTAAATAGACTACCTCTAAGAATTTCAATAGGGTATGATCTTCCATATCATTGTGATTGATTTTTAAGGAAATTAGCATGTGGAATTAATTATTTTAAAAAGCATAAATTATATTTGCACTCTCATGGTCATGGTGGCATTATTCACAAGAGCCATGATATGGAAACAACTTCAGTGTCCACCAGCAATGAATGGATAAAGAAATTGTGGTATGTATCTATGCAGTGGAATATTATTCAGCCTTAAAAAGAAGGAAATCCTGCCATTTTGGAACAGCATAGATGATCCTGGAGGATACTATGCTATAGGGGAAATAAGCCAAACAGAGAAAAAAAAAATACTGCTTGATCTCACTTATATATGAGATCAAAAAAGAAAAAGAGAGAGAGAGAATAAAATGGTGATTATCAAGGGCAAGGAGTGGGAGATGTAAGACAAAGGGTACAAAGTTGCAGATATATAGGATGAATAATTCTGGAGATCTAAGATACAATATGAAAACTCTAGTTATAATACCCACCATATACTGGAAATTTGTTAAGACTAGATTGTTGGTGCTCTTACCACACACATCAAAAAAGGGTAACTACAGAAGAGAATGGATATGTTTATTTGTTTGACAGTAGAAACTGTTTCACTGTATATAAGTATATCAAAACCATATTGTTCATCTTAAGTATATACCAGAAAAAGCATATATGTGAATTAACACCATTAAAAATGAATATTTATTTCTTTAAAATTTAACCATAATACTCCTTTAAAGGTTAAGTTCTCTACTTTTTATCCCCTTGATTAAAAAAAAATCATAATTTCCTTTTATGAATATCATGTTTCTTCTCAGTCTCTTTCAGCTGTCTCCTGTAAAAGGAAGTTTCATTTACATAGAAAAGTCATATTGTGAAAAAAATTGCTGCTCATATTTTTAAATAATTTATAGATTTTTGAAAAGCTTAGCTCATAGCCTTGTTTTGTATAGCATTAGATCAAATTATCATATTAAAAATATATTCTCATGGCTGGGCGCAGTGGCTCACGCCTGTAATCCCAGCACTTTCGGAGGCCAAGGCGGGCAGATCACGAGGTCAGGAGATCGAGACCATCCTGCCTAACATGGTGAAACCCCGTCTCTACTAAAAATACAAAAAACTAGCCAGGCGTGGTGGCAGGTGCCTGTAGTCCCAGCTATTGGGGAGGCTGAGGCAGGAGACTGGCGTGAACCCAGGAGGCAGAGCTCGCAGTGAGCCGAGATCGTGCCACTGTACTCCAGCTGGGCGACAGCGAGACTCCGTCTCAAAAAAAAAAAAAAAAGTCTTCTCATTTTTGTATTAGAAAGATGACAACTTTACAAGGCAAGTGAATTCTGTTCTTCACTTCCAAATATATTGAGGAACAGAAATTAAGATTTTAAAAATAAGTAATATATTTGTAATGACAATAATGACAATCATACCCATATAAATCAAAGGAAAATAAATCCAGAACAAAACTCAAGATCATCTTTCCAAGCTTTATTTAAGTGGCAAAACAACTTAAACTAAAATATCTGAACATATGGGTATTGCTTATCTGTGACATGTGACTTAAGTAATTTGATACTAAGAAAGGGAATGTGTTGTTAATGGTGCAGTTATTAAATAGGTATAGTTATATGTATAAAAATTAGAATTGATATCGATAACCTTATTACTTGTATTTCAATATACTTTTTTATGATTGTAAGAATTTGCATAATCTTGTGTATTCCCATGGGAGTAATGTTATTCTTATAAACATCACTGATACCAATTTCCAGGCAGGAAGGAAAAAAAAAATCTAAGAACCATCCTTGTCTAACTTTCAACAGGAATATAAACTATTTTAAGAGCCAATTATTGTAGTAGTATTTTAATCATATTTCAGTATTTCCAATTGTTTACAGTTGCTTAACTATGATATTTTCTTTTCTTTTTTTTTTTTTTTTTTTGAGACAGGATCTCCCTCTGTGGCCCAGGCTGGAGTGCAGTGGTGCAATGATGGCTCACTGCAAACTTGACCTCCTGAGGTCAGGTGATCCTCCCGCCTCAGCCTTCCAAGTAGCATGATCCACCACACGCAGCTGGTTCTTGACTTTTGCATTTTCAGGAAAATTCTGTTATTTTTCCACATTGCTTGACTCTTCCAAATTGCTTGATGCTTCCAAATTGCTTGACTCTTCCAAAGGTTCAAATACACCATCTATTTAATGCTTCCTAAAAAACCATACTAAACTTAGTGGCCTGAAACAACAACAATTTATTTCTCATGATTCTGTGGACCGAGGGAGGTGCTGGCTAGGTGGCTTCTGTTCCACCTAGTAATAGGCTGAGGTCACTCACGTGGTGGCTGGCTTCATCCGGAGGTGGGGCTGGGCTTGACCTTCCAAGAAGGCTTCAACCTCCTAGCTGACTTCTCAGTGCTCTTCTGTGGCCTCTCTTTCCCAATGTTGTCTCTCATTATTCAGCATAGAGCCAGTTTTAGTTCAGCATGGCACCTGGCTACCTAGCGGGAAGGAAAAAGCAGCCAGTCCTCTTAAGAGCTAGGCCCAGAACTGGCAAAGCAGCACTTCTGCGACTTTCTATTGTTCCTGGCAAGTCAGGAGGGTAGCACAGCTGGAAAGGAGGGGAAATAGACTCCATCTCTTGTTGGAGGAGCAGTGTGGGAAGAGCCGTAGGAACTACTGGGAGCCATATTTAGTGATGAGCTGCCATGGTATCCTTTATGTATTAAAATAAAAACCCCTGACGATGGTATGCTTTTTCATATTACAAATAAGAAAACAGAAAGGTTAAATGGGCAAATCATTGTGGAGTCAAAAGCAAAAGTTGTATTTTCAGACTTATGGTCCAGTAAGGTTTTCCTTTCAGTTTTACTTGACTAACATTCGTCCAAATATTTTATTCTAGATTTCCGAATAAGGTTATCAAATCTTCACTCAGTTGTCCACAGTAGTTTTGTTGTTGTTGTTATTGTTTCTTTGGTTTTTTGTTTGTTTTTGTTTGTTTGTTTGTTTGTTGAGACGGAGTCTCACTCAGCCGCCCAGGCTGGAATGTAGTGGTGTGATCTCGGCTCACAGCAACCTCCATCTCCCGGATTTAAGCAATTCTCCTGCCTCAGCCTTCCGGGTAGCTGGGATTACAAACACGTGCCACCACGCCCGGCTACTTTTTGTATTATTAGGAGAGACAGGGATTCACCATGTTGGTCCGGTTGATCTCGAACCGCTGACCTCAAGTGATCCTCCCGCCTCAGCCTCCCAAAGTTCTGGGATTACAGGCCTGAGCCACCACAGCCAGCCTACATTAGTTATTTTTAAAAACCATTGCTTAGAAGCCTTCAATTCTAAAATTTTCAGTAGCCATTCATGCCCAAGTTTTTTTTAGTATAATGCCCTAGTATATCTAATTCATGTCTTCAGAACGATTGTGTAGCTAGTGTTTTATGTTTTGTTTTGGTTTGGTTTTTACCTAATTTTAACAGCTTAGCAATGAAAATCACATTTATTTATTTATTTATTTATTCACTCAACAAATAATTTATTGAGCTCCTGCGAGGTGTCATGTATTATGTCAGGCCCTGGGCATCCATACAGGAATGAGGGGGAGTCATGGCTCAAAGAACCCACAAGGTTACTTATCTTCAGTAAGTAAGTTAGGTTTGTTTAGTCAGATTTATCTGTTGTATATCTTCACAAGCCTTCAGTTAAAAACTTGCTGTTTTCTAGAGCTTATAAAGCAATATAAAATATTAATCACCCAGTAGTGAGTGTAACTGGGTTGAAATTCCCAAACTTCTGTGTTTTAAAGTAAATGCACATTTTCTTTTTCTAGTTGTCTAGTGCAATGTAAATATGTTATCAGTTGCTTTAGTGAAACTGAGATACCAGTTGGGATACTGTAGTGCAGAGGTAAGAATGTTGACAGGGATTCATGTCACAGGTCTTAACTTTTCATATACTAATTATATAATCTTGAGAAAGTTACATAATCTTTCTTGTTCTCAGTGTCCTCGTATTTGTGTAAGTCTGACTAGATAATTTTCATATCCTATGAATAACATCAGTTACCTACATTAATTGTTTAGCATTATTTCCTTGTTCTCCTTCCTTAGTTCTCTCACAAATGAAAAGAAAGCAAATGATTTGTACACATGAAATAGTTTCAGTGGCAATCAAAAACTATATCAGGGAGATAAGAAAATTGCTTTGTTATAGCTCTAGAATCTTCATGGGAGGAAAGTGGAGGGAGGTTGAAAGGGGAGAACTTGGGGATTACTTTTTACCTTGGAGATTTTCATATTTCTTCCTCTATCCGAATCTTTACCATCCCTCCTTCCTTGAGACTGTCTTAATAAGCTGCAGTTATTGACGGGAAGGTGTCTGCTGACTCAAGTTATGTTGAGTGTGCAGAGGAAAAACGGGCTAGAAAATGAAAAGTTCTCCTCTAGTGCATTTTTTTTAAGTTAAAGGTCCAATAGCCCTCCTGCTGTTGCATCAGTTCTCTGCAAATGCTGAAGTATAATCATACCTATCTTTGAGTTTAAAAATGACATTTATGATGATTTCATTAGCTTAAACTCACCTTAAGCACAAAGAAAACAGTTTTATCTGCTTTGAATATCTTTAAAGTTTGGCTTCTCTGTTTCATTGTACATTTATATTTAGCTTCTGATAATAATTTCATTTTGGTTGTCTGATCACATAAGAGTTTGTTCTGTCTGATTTTGTGAACTATTATACTTTTCCTTTTAATGTATGGGTCATTACTTAACCATTGTTAGCCCTTATTTCTAGGATATTTATTATTCTATTTGACCATGATTGTGTCCTGCTATATGTGTTATTTTTCTGAGGTGGAATTTTTTTTTTTGGCTGAATATCAAGACTACTGTTCACCTGTATGTATTTATATCATGAATAAAATTCAAACTTTAGGCAACTTGCTTTATTCTGGTTTGTATTATTTCTCATGAGTTGCTTTTTGTTTTGTACATCTAACTAGGTTTCTTTCTGAAATTTAAAGTTCTCCTGTGGCATTATCTTGTGACTTTGCCATCTTCCATTTCTTCTCTCTCCTCCCTTTCTGTCTTCCTTTCATTCTTTCTTCTTCACTCCCTCCCTTCCCTTCCCTTGATTATTCAGTACTTTCCTTATCTGCAAGGCACTAGGCTGGATGCTACCATGTTTTCCCTCAACCTGCTTCTTAGACTATTTTAACTTTCCCCACTCTCTTTTATTAATCTTATTTTTGCCAATTTCTTTTAAATTCTTCACAGATCTATTAAAAACAGTTTCTAGCTCAAAAAAAAAATGTATGAGCTACTCAGATGTTAGCTCTGGTTTCTATTTGTGCATGTCAGAATTGTCTTAAAAGAACAAACACCGCCGGGCGCAGTGGCTGACGCCTGTAATCACAGCATTTTGCGAGGCCGAGGCAGGCTGATCACGAGGTCAAGAGATCCGAGACCATCCTGACCAACATGGCGAAGCCCCCGTCTCTACTAAAAATACAAAAATTAGCCGGGCGCGGTGGCACGTGCCTGTAGTCCCAGCTACTCGGGAGGCTGAGGCAGGAGAATCGCTTGAACCCGGGAGGCGGAGGTTGCAGTGAGCCGAGATTTCGCCGCTGCACTCCAGCCTGGCGACAGAACGAGACTCCGTGAAAAAAAAAAAAAAAAAAAAAAAAAGGTAACAAACACTAAAGGACAGAAATAAAACTCAGCTCTGGGCACTCATTTTCAGCATAATATCTTTTTTTTTTTTTTTTTTTTTTTAAGACAGAGTCTTGCTCAGTCGCCCAGGCTGAAGTGCATTGGCGCTATCTCGGCTCACTGCAACCTCCGCCTCCCGAGTTCAAGCGATTCTCCTGCCTCAGCCTCCTGAGTAGCTGGGACTACAGGCACGTGCCACCACGCCCTGCTAATTTTTGTATTTTGAGTAGAGACGGGGTTTGGCCATGTTGGCCAGGATGGTCTCAGATCTCTTAACCTGGTGATCCGCCCGCCTCAGCCTCCCAAAGTGCTAGGATTACAGGCGTGAGCCACCGCGCCCGGCTTCTCAGCATAGTATCTTTTCACATCATAGTCTTTGAGCTGATATTTTCCTTTTGAGTTGAAATCAGACATATGCATTCTGAGTTGATTATCATAGCTTTCTCTGTAAGAGTAACTGGTTGCCAAATACTACTAAATGTGCTACCTGATGTGCTAATAGAAAGGGCTTTGCAGTAAATGTCTTGGGAATTAAGATTAACTATAATCATTAAGTCCTATGATCTGAAGCACTACAATCTGTTTACATGTATTAGTTGTCTTTTTATAGCAAATGATACAAGAATCAATCAATACATTAATTATAACTTGCAAATAGTTCATCCAAGATGCAGTATATGCATTGTTGTATTTTTTAAATTTCATTTATTATGTTTTTTAGAGACAGGGTCTTGTTCTGTTTCCCAGGCTGGAGTGCAGTGGTGCAATCATAACTCACTGCAACCTGGAACTCCTGGGCTCAAGCAGTCCTCCGACCTCAGCCTCTGAAGTAGCTAGGACTACAGGTGTGTGCCACCATGTCCAGCTCTTGCATGTTTATTTATATATCCACCTGTTAAATCAATGATTAGTATATGTAGAAATTTCGGAGGAGAAAACTATATTTGAAGAAAATCAAATAGGCATCTCATTTTGAATGTTTAGAACAGTGCTTTCCAATAGAACATTCTGTGATGATATAAATGTTCCATACTCTTTGCTGTTCAACACAATGGCCACTATCCACATGTGGCTACTGAGCCCATGAAAGTGGCCAATGTCACTGAGGAAATGAATGTTTTAATGTGTTTAATTTTAAGGAATTTAAATATAAATGGGTACATGTGGCTAATGGCAAACATGTTGAACAGTGAAGATCAAGACCATTTAAAATGTATTTGATTATAAGTGATAGACCACTGAATATCAAAATATGTGACCTTACTCATTTTATGTGTAATCATTTTATGGGAAATTTTACTTAATTTACATTTTTCTAAGTAAAAAAATACAATTAAAATGCAAATCAACATATTTAATACAGTGAGTGGTGGTGACTAGATTAGTTTGGTGGTAGGAGGGATTAGCCCCATTCCATAATCTCTGTTATGGCTCTCCCACTAGCCACCTGAATGGTAAGTCCAGGTAAAAAACAGTACAGTATGCATGCCGTAAATATTATTTCAATACAAGTGTCCTCATATTCAGAGTAAGAAGAAAGAACAAGGAAATGATAGATCTGATGCTTGAGATGTAATCAATAACTAACAAAGAGAGAGACAGTGTTTCTAGCTCTATTTTGACTATATATTTTTTTTTAAATCAGAAAGAACAATCTTTGGATTGAAAACATGCTAAGCAAATACCATTAAAAAGGAAACAGAATCCATAGAGAAAGGATTGTAAAAAAGCAGCTCCTTGTTTCCAAACCTAGAATGAACAAATTTTATTCCCCTGTAAGTTGATAACATTTGTAAATGAGGTTTGTGAAACTGCAGTCTGGAAATTTTTAGTAAATGTGGAGAGCAGAAATGTTGCCCAAAGAACTGTGCAAAGGGTAGATACTAAGACCTCCATTTAAACAGAAAGGAGAGAGGGAGGAGAGAGAGAAAAAGAGACAGAGAAAGGTAGGTGGGTGCTCAAACTTACAAAATTGTGACCAGAACAGATAACTAAAGGGATGACTTATGACCTTTAAAAAAGGAAAGCAGTGTTCACTAGAAGCAACCATGAGTTCACAGAGAAAAACTTTTGTCCAACTAACCACACTGTCTGTTTTGACTAAGGAAAAAAGAAAAAAACGTGTTGTAGGTTGTCTGTATGAAAGTAATTGAAAAGGTTTCCCATGATAGCCCAAATAAGATAAAGAAATAAGGAGGAGATGATAATGTAGTTGGGTAGATCATAATTAGTTGAACATCCAAGCCCAAAGAGTACTGATTAGCTGAAGGGTGAACTCTGTGTGTGTGATAAAGAGCTCAGTCTTTAGTCCTGTTTCTGTTTTTGTTTTTTCACCATTTGTTTCAGTGGCTTACATTTGCGATGAGCAAGCACCTTTGCATAAAAAGCAATTCAAGAAAAACAAAAATATTCATGGCTATATGGTAGTCCATGATGGTAGTATTCATGGCTATATGGTTTTATCACTTATAATCAAAAGAACCAACCAAACAAACAAAAAACCTGTTTGTGACATACTACTCTACTCATCATGAGTGTTAGCCCATCTGTGCCATGTTGTTTTAGTAATCATCTTCCATGCCCACACCTTGATAGAGTAATACATGATTTAAATTTTAGTTCTTTTCCAAATGTTCCAAATTTCTATAATTATCATGTGTTATTTAAAGAATCACTCCCTTTTCCATCTATTTCACATTATATGGATACTGTCTTAGAAGATGTGGACATTATAGTTGATTTAGGTAAGCTATCAATATTAGATTGCTAAGAGGACAATCTGATTCCTTTTTAAAAATTAATTACTTAATTATTTTTAAATAGAGATGAGGTGTCGCCGTGTTGCCAAGACTGTTCTCAAACTCCTGGGGTCAAGCAATCCTCCCTCCTCAGCCTCCCTAAGTGCTGGGATTACAGGCATGAGCCACAACGTCTAGCCTTTGTTCTTTTTTAAAGCTTTATTTTCACAACTATTTTATGAAAGAGAATAGAGACACTACTCCCATTCTACTTTTTACTCACTAGATTGGAATTTCTCACCTAGTTAATAAATTTTAAGAGGTATCAGACAATTTGGAAGGCATTCATAAGATAGTGAATAGGATGCATAGAAACTTATTAGAGTGATTAGAGCCCATTTTATTTGATTCTAGGGGATAAAATGAGAACCAATAAAGTCTAAGCCTTAAAGAGATGGAGTTGGGCTGAGTTTAAAGAAAAATGTTTCAACAGAGTATTCTAAAGGGTTAGTAAACCACCTATTAAAAGAGTGAGTTCTCTGTCACTTTTAGGATTCTAGCAGACTTTGAATATCCAATTAGCAGGGAGGTTTGTTGAGCAATTTCAGATAGCCCAAAGATAACAGCCTATCCAATCTTAGATTCCTATTTTCTGTAGCAAAGCCTTGAAGATGATTAGCACACTTTGGGAAGCGAGTGTTACCAATTGAGTAGCCAGGCCATGTTCTAACTTCATTTTTACCCTCTTCTCTTCCCTTGTTCTTCATGGCTAAGTGCTTTAATGACACCTTACCTGATGGCAATGTTGGAAGAAGAAAGTAGTCAGACTTCTCCAGAAATCACTCCCTTCCCTCCCATCTGTTGAGGCTCACTGCTAAGCCTGAATATTTGAGAACCCTTCCTGAGAGTCTTACCCACGAAGCATTAGCTTTAGACTCCCTCATTATACCCAAATCATATTTATTGCAACATGGACTAGGATTTAAATTTCTAGAGTAAACCATTGGAGCTTCTCTTCTTGTTCCTAGATCTCAGCTTACTTTCTTTTTGAGTTCCATTCTGACAAAATGGCCCTTACTGATTTCCAAACCTCAGTTCCTCACCTATGGCCACTTTATATTACTGGAATTTTGCTAGAGACCCATCACTGGAGTAATGCTGGAAGTTTGTCTATTCAGAAAATGCCTCAACTATTCCATGCTCTTGCCTCTTATTCTCATTACTGAAATTTCTACCCCAGAGACTTCAGTCCCCAGGATTTCAGTCAGGTGAGTAGCTCCAAGGGAACTATGGCACAACAGCATTCCAAGAATCCATTTCTTCTTTGTTCAGATGTCTAAGTATCAATGGCCTCCCAGATGTGTTGTCACTATGGTTACTTACTTTTCAAGACCTTGTGCCACCTCAGCTTGGTTCTTCAGATTTTGCTTGTACTGTCATTGGAGATTCTTGTA
Organism: Homo sapiens; assembly: GCF_000001405.40. NCBI lineage: Eukaryota > Metazoa > Chordata > Mammalia > Primates > Hominidae > Homo > Homo sapiens. The sequence continues at coordinate 114,466,519 of NC_000007.14, forward strand.
AATCTTCAAACTTTGGTCTTTTGCATTCCCAGCTAAAACTTTCCTGATGCCAGTCTTGATGTAGTAGATGAATTTACTGATTTCTCCAGTCTTGGGCCCAATCTTGGATTTGTAAGCTGTCAGGTATCACTGAAAAATCTTAAACATGGAACACTTGTGTTGAAACTTTTTTGAAACTCCAGTCAGCTTTTATTGCTTTCCATATTTTAGGAATCGTTGCCAGATAATGTCAATTTTGTAACTAATGTAACAAAAGGAAGAGACATGTTTTATATGAATGACACAAAGAATCAAGCTTAAGGTTTTCTTTTTGCTTTTCCCAAATTCAAAACACCACAAACAGCTCACTATTTTCTAAATAGAGCAAGGACACTTTTCAAAATTGAAATTGTAAATATAACACCTGTGTGCTAAGCTCTGCAATGTGTGAAATTTGAGATTGTTGTTGCTAATGTTCAAAGCATAGAAAGTCTGAGTAGTGACTGTCTAGGATCAGCAAGTATGCTCACCACAGTCAGTTCCTGGAGTTGAATTATTTGAAATTGGCAGGTGGTTTCTCTTTTTCCATAGATTTCATTCCCCTTTTCCTGACAGTACATGTGTTTGGTGACCTCCACTGTTTATTTAGCTTCTGCATACATTCCTTAGAATTTGTTTAATGTGTGGTTTTTTTGGTTGCTTGTGTTTCTTGTTATGCTTGGCTACTACTAGAAGGAGGAGTGGTGGTGGTCTGCTTTGGGTTGGCAGTCAAAACAAATGTGATACTCATTTTAAATATCTGGCTTTGAATTTTCATATAAAAATATAAGCACCATTTACATAAGTATATTGCTTGAATTGAATTTATTTTCCATTCCCCACTTGCTCCTGAAAGAAGTGCCTGTAAACTCCAAAATGATTTAAGAGAGAGCATCGGAAGGAAAGAAAAGTGAAGAGTGAGAGTAAGCCACTAACTGCTTAATCAAACCTGAATGAGCCAAACAAAGTCCAACTGTGATTTACTTTCTGCATCATAAGTTGCAACTATTGCAACTGTGAAGAGTTAATCTCTCACTTATACCTCCTTACTTCTTACTGCCTTCCCGGTTGTTGTTTACTTGCTCTGTCTGTTACAAACTGGCAGTCACATCGCATACCCTATTATAGTTAGTACACTTTGGGGTCTGAGGAGGATGGGAACAAGAAAACAAAGAAATAGAAAATTAGAAAAATCAAAAGGAATTTATGAATAGAAGATACTTTCTTATTATTAATATTGTCATTTTTGAAAAGCATTAACAGTAAGGTAGTAGAAAGCATTGACATTTGGAGTGGATCTGATTTGGAAGGCCCTTCTGGGATCTCTCTACTCTGGGTTTTCAGAACCTTTCCATCACCTGGTATTCTTCACATCCCTTTGTCTGTTGGTTTTTAGACTCTCTTTTTTTGCCCATTCATTAAATGCTACTCGTCCCCAAAGGCATTGTCCTCAGTCTACTGCTGTTCTTCTGCAATGCTTCAGCTACAATGTATACATATGTTAATGACCTGAACTTTTCTATTTCCTAGCTGTGATCTCTACCCAAAGCTTCATGTACATTTCATTATAACTGTTTATGAGAATTTTCCCTTAGTGACAGTAGGCACTTTAAATGGATCACTTCTAGAACTGATCATTTTATTCTTCCCCTAAAGTAGTGTTTCTCCTCTGAAATCCTCTTAAGTTCTAGAATCCTAGGAGTCATTTTTGATTTCTCAGTTACTTTAAAGTTTGCCCGTATCTATTCAATCCAGGACCAAATTCTGGCTCTGCATTGTGTGTGTGTGTGCATGTGTGTATGTGTATGTGTGTGTAATGCAGTTATTGTCATGTCGCTCACTTGCTTAAGAAAATTCTTCAATTGTTTATTATTACCTTCAGGATAAAATCCAAACTACTTAAGGTGACATTGACATCTTTTAATGATTTAGTGCCAACTTACTTACCCATCTTACTGTTTTCACACTCCCTGGCTCATAACTTAATCTCTAGCAATCCTGCTTGTAGTTCCCTACGCTACATACGGGTCCTCGCTATAATGCCTGTCTTTGCTCATGTTATCCCCTACCTGGAACAACTCTTTCTCATTCTTTTTAAATCTCAATCATTCCCTCTTTCAGAAAGAATTTCAAACAATTCTTCTCAAGTAAGTTAGGCGTCATTCCTCCTTGCTTCCACAAAAATACGATGAATGCATGATACAATACATCAAAATTATCTTTTTATATATCTATCCCCTGCAAACTACTGTGAGCTTTTTAAGACTCAGGATTATTCAACTTCCAATTCTCATCAGTTAACACAGAATCTGACATGTAATAAGTGCTCAATAAATATTTCATTTACTTAATGAAAAAAAGTCATTAATGAAGACTGAATACCTTGAAAATTGTTCTTTCTGCTTTTGGATTTTGCACATAAGAACTCTTAGTAAAGCACTTATCTATTCTCAGTCTTCACTTGGCCTCTCTTTTTGGCAACTGAAATGACTCATTTTCTTTACAGCTCCTCCCTTTGGCACTCTCGTGGCCTGTGATCGGCTCCTGTTCAACTCTTCCTCTTGGCCTTCTTGACCACAGACTCAAATGCCCTGAGAGAATCAGAGCTGTCCCCTTGTCTTTCTTCTTCCATTGCCAGTTTTATAAATGGAAGATCTAAATATATGTGAGTGTATGTGTACATATATAGTATATATATATAGTATCTGTCAAGTTTTCAACAGGAAAAAAGGTCTCAGTCACACAATATCCTATGTCATATACAATATTACACCATGATATATGAGATTAAAAGAGTAAGGGTTACCAGCTGAAAACAAGAAAGTGCAAAACTTCTTTTTTGGGTCAATGCTTTCTGGACCTTCTGAGCAGCTCATCCTTATTCTTGACTTTGTGGTCACCTCAAAGCTGATTGCTAGTGACATTTTCACAGTGGTAAGTTTTTACAAAGATATCTAAAAACCACAATAAAAAGTTTATATTTTAGTTGGTATGCCTAGAATTATAGAAAATATCCGTGACTATGTTTAACTTCTGTCTTTATCAGACATAATTCTCAATTTTATAAGTTGATGTGTTGATAAAATGGTGATTAAAAAGGAAGCAGATGTTTTGTGCATTAGGAAGCAATGAAGATTATAGAAAGTGTGTAACTGGAATAGCTATAACCTTCTTTTATTTATTTATTCTTCTGATTTGCCATAGTATGTCAAAGGAAAATATTTTAGATCTGTAATAATTTTTTGCAATATAAAAGATATTAAAATAATAAAATGAAAGTAATTGTGATGTGAAAAGTATTATGATCATTTGTTATATTTAATTCTTTATAGTACTAAACCATGAAGCTATTTAAATTATTTTGGTTTTGAAAGCAGATATTTAGAGTTTTGTTATTATCACATCATACTTACGATAGTCCATATTGTTCTTAATTAGGGAGTATCAATTTACTGTAGATAGTCCTTAACTTCTAGGAGTTTATAGGTAAAATGGAAAGAATTTCAATATAATTTTGTATACAGTGGCCATGCCATGAACTGCCCTACAAATGAAATAAATTTTCAGTGACTTTTAAAAATGTTAGAAACAACCTACAAAAGCAAAATTGTCTCCTGGCTCCCTGCATGGCCCCTGACTCTACTCATTTCACAATATTCTCCCATTGCTCTCTTAGCTGCAACTTGCCTTACAGTCTCTTTGTTATACCACAGGATCTTTGTTCAAAATCTTCCTTCTACTTGGAATGTTTTCCCCCGACCCTCCCAAATGCTCACAAACACATACCATGCTAGTTCCTATCTATCTTCCATTTTAACTAAAACATCCCTTCTTTTCAGAGCTTTATCATTCTAAACCAAATAAAGTCATTTTATAAAGTTATTTTATGATACTTATTACTATTTATGATTATATGTTATTTGTGTGGTTATTTTATTAACATTTGTCTTTTTGGTAGCCTATAAGATTTATGAGACCAGAGATTATTTTTGGTGGTTCATTGTATTCCCAACATCTGGCCCAGTTTTTGGCACGTAGTAGATGTTGGGTCTCTATATACTGGATGGATGAGTGAATGAATTTTTCAGACTACTGCCAGAGGCTTCTTATTAAGATCAGTTCAGTTATGACACTTTTCTTCCTTTGCTTTCCTATGGCTTTAAATACTATACAGAATACTTTTTATTATACCCAACACATTTTGTCGTCTTTCCCTAACATACAAATCCAGTTAGACTTCCAATTCATCCTAGATACCTACCATCCTCCTTCTCCATGTTTTTATCTCTCCCTCGGGGAAGGGGAAGGGGGAGAGCATTTCCCTTTGTGTTCTTGTTTTCCTTAAACTGGACCTGAAGTTCCCATTCCTGTGCCTTTTCCATGCTGTTCTATAACCCTGGGGTGTCTTTCTGTTTCCTTCATCATTTTCAGGGATGAGCTTAAGTATCATTTATTTCTGAAGCTTTCCCTTGTTCTCTGTACATACCCTGTCTGTATTAACTACCCATTCTTCTGCATTCCTACGTTTTTACTTGTTGTAGCATTTTCTCTTTTGCCTTGTCTGTATTCTTCAGTATTTTTTAAGTATGTTAAAGGGAGGGCTAATTTCTCATTCAACTGTGTATTTCCCACAATTTCAATTATAGTGTATAGAATAATAACAGCTAATAAAATTTAAAAATAATTGAAATTTATTATTGTCATAAATTATGAAAAAGATTGACTTAGTTGTGGACTATCTTTAGGTGATGATAAATTTTGTATTCAGAGAATATTGCATTTCTATATTTTTTCTCCAATCAGTCCCAATTGATCTGTCACACAACTACCATTCAGGTATCATTTCCCACCATAACATGACACTTTGCATCAGCTAATCAACCTGACACATACCTTAATATCTCTGTGTCTTTGTCCATCTATTTTTTAAGTCTAGAATACACTTTCTTAACTTACACTATTTTATTTATCAGAATTCTCACTCATATATAGGTGAAGATTTTGGTCAATATTGTCTTCCTCATGAAAAGTTTCTTGATTGCTCCTTTTCATTTCCCATTAGAATTTATTACCACTTATATTGTGGTTCTTAAAAACTGCTTGTTCCTTTCCTTAAGACTTATTTTATTCCAGCCAGGTGCGGTGGTTCACGCTTGTAATCCCAGCACTTTGGGAGGCCGAGGCGGGCGGATCACCTAAGGTCAGGAATTTGAGACCAGCCTGGCCAACATGGTGAAACCCCATCTCCACTAAAAATACAAAAAAAAAAAAAAATTAGCTGGGCATGGTGGCGGGCACCTGTAATCCCAGCTACTCCGGAGGCTGAGGCAGGAGAATTGCTTGAACCCAGGAGACAGAGATTGCAGTGAGCTGAGATTGCACTGCTGCACTCCAGCCCGGGCAACTGAGTGAAACTCCATCTCAGGAAAAAAAAAAAAAAAAGAAAGACTTATTTTTTTCCAACTTGTAGCCTAGGTTGTTGTACTCCAAAGCTCATGTGCTGCACTAGTGTGCAAACAGGTTTGCTAATTTGTGCACTACCCAGTGACCACTCAAGGGTTTGGGATATGACTAGCTGAAAGGGTTAATGAGTAGCTGGGCTTACCTGTAATCATGGTTTCTTTATGCTACATGCATGGAGTTTAAAGATAGATGAAGCCCCTTGAACTTTTAAAGTTAAAAAAAAAGAACTTGACAAGAGAATTCTTAGCATATTCAGTAACATAGTAAATAACTTCATATGGGGTATTTTATATCAGCTAAATTTATTAAAAGGTGAATCTTTATTGGCCTCCTGTTTTATAAATTCTTTTTTTTTTTTTTTTGAGACAGAGTCTGCCTCTGTCTTGCCCAGGCTGGAGTGCAGTGGCACGATCTTGGCTCACTGCAGCCTCTGCCTTCCAGGTTTAAGTGATTCTCCTGTCTCAGCCTCCTGAGTAGCTGGGACTACAGGCCTGTACCACCACACTTGGCTAATTTTTTTGTACTTTTAGTAGAGACAGGGTTTCATCATGTTAGCCAGGCTGGTCTTGAACTCCTGACCTCAGGTGATCCACCAACCTCGGCCTCCCAGAGTGCTGGGTTTACAAACGTGAGCCATCGTGCCCAGCCTAGAAATTCTTTAAAATGGGAGTTTGAAATGGTATTACTACTCCATTCATAGATTTGTACTTGGTCTTTACAAATTTACTGCTTTTAAGATTTAGTTCAGATAAGGTTTTCCTTTTTATAGTTTGCTAAGCTCAAATGTTCACTCTTAAATTAAAAATGGTTCTGAGTTACCAATAAAAATGTATGTGTGAGTGTGTGTGTGGGTAGGTGTGCATGTCTGTCTGTCTAGAGGAAAAAATATTATGTAAGTTTCCACAGGGATTCTCTCAACACTTGGTAGTAGAACAGAAGAAGAAAATACAGTGGTAAACAAATAAAACTCCCACTACTGTCTTCAGCAGACATCATGATAAGTACTTCACATGCATTATCACATTTAACCTTCGTATTAACCACACTTTGTAGATCAGGATATCTAAGCTTGGAATGAGTAAGGCACTAGCTCTCTAAGTTTTATTTGCAATAATACATGTCAAGACAGGATTTGACATGTATTCATACCTATTCGATATCTCTTCATATCTATTCGATAGGTAATCTGAAGAGATTTCCACTTGGGCTCTGACTAGATGGACACTGATTTCTAAAAGTAAATACCCAATTCCTGTGTTAGGTTCAGTAGTCTAAATATAGCCCCCATTACAAGATACAAGCACAGAGGAAAGACTCATCCCCAAACCTTGGTGCCAGAATGAAAGTAAGGATACAGACGCAAGAGTCTTCTCTGAGGAAGTGGCCCCAGAGCAAACTGTAGAGGCCATAGTAGGCAGGAATCAGGGGTCTGCTTATTAAAAGTTATTTCGTTATAATATATTCTACAAAACGAGTGTAAGTATGGTAGATTCAAAGATCTAGTTTTGAGTTTAATTAAACTTTACTTCTTCTAGAACACAGGCCCATAACCTTAAAAAGCTTCTTATGAAGAAATGCCTCTTATCTGTGCCCAAAATGAATTGGTTTATATACCACACCTTCTAAATCGTTTGGCAAAAAGGGAGCCCTCCCTTATATATATTGAAATGACTCCAAACCACAAGAACCATACCATGGTAGCATCTGGGATTAATGTGATAGATGCTGCCAAGTTTTCTCCCCACAGTTCTGATACCATCTCAGCCAGAACTGTAGGTCTATGTCAAAAATGTCCCACAGAGCCTACTAATTTACTTAAGCTTTGAATCCGAGTAATTATCCATGATCAATTCATACCTAATAGTATTTTCCCTAACATCAAGTTTAAAAAAAAAAGCTTTTCACTGAATGTCTGTAACAACAACAAAAATATGGCCATTGCCATCTTTTTCTTTACGTCACATTCACAACCCTGTTTGCAAGCATCACCAGACCTGCAAGAGCAACCATAGATGTTTTACATTTTCACCACCCTTCTTTAAAGTAAACTTTCTCTCTAATTCATGTCTTAAAAACATAAGGTAGATATAAACCTCATCTTTCTATTTTAGAGATTGCATACTGGCATATGTGACATGTAATTGTAGCATTGTTCATTGCATACTGTGCATGTGGTGAATTCCATGATATCAGAACAACAGAATAGCAAAGTCCAATGTCTTCGTTATTAAATTAATTAAAATGAAATCTAAAGAGTATAACAGGAGTTTTAGCATTACTTATGAAATACTCAAATCGGCACTATTTTGTCTATGTCTTACTCCAGCTAATCACATTGGCATATGTAACTTATACAAATGTTCACTGAAAGGCTATACACATCAACAAAATGAATGAGAAAAAGAAAACTTTCCTACAGCCTAGTATTAGATCCATATAAATTCTCTGTATGTGTAGCATAACAAACATCCTGACTCTCATAGAGCTATTATTCTCGTTGTAAACCAGTTATAGCTAAACTCAGGCTCTGATTTATTTTTATTGATTTTAAATAAACTGAAGCTTACACTTTTAACCCAATTGAATATCCTAGAAAATAGCAGATGATCAGTAACAAAACATAAGATTTAGTGGTGATTGGTTAGGGAATTTTTACCAAAGGACTTGCTATAAACCATTATAGACCTGACTGCTGACAAACATTTACAATTAAATTTTCAGGTAGTTTTCCAATCCATGCAGTAATTCAATACCAGCATTCCCTCTGCTATTTATATCTACTTTTTCCACATGTCATTGCCTGAGCTTCTTTGTCTGTCAATCTCACATATTCATATTTTTTTTCAAACTGGCATCTCTTGACTTGTTCCAGTTCTCTGTTCCTACACTACTGTTTTTGAATTGTTTTATGGGCATAGAGATAAGTCATTGGTGAGGTGATTTGAGTTCTTATTCAAGAGAATGATGACAAACTTGAAAGTAAAAGATGTAGTAAATGAGCCCTGCTTGGTACTAGCCCAACATAGTCTGTATGAGTCTGAAATCTCATACAGACCATAATAAAGCATGCATCCGTCTATCCATTCACTTGTCAATTTATCAAATACTTACAGAGTACTAGAAATCAATGTTCAAGTTAGGTATGCTACATGACATTTATTTTCAAAACAAATTGATATATAGTTAAAATATATTTTAAGGTGACCCCTAGTTTCACTCTCAAATTTTTAAAAATATTTTAATATGTGCAAATGTGAGTCCGTTACTTGTCTCTCTATATAAATCTTGCAGTTCAGAGGTTACAAAAATTTTACCTTATTTGAATTTTAATGAAGTCCTTCATGTTCTTTGAACAGTTTTTGACTTATCAAAATTGCAAATTTGTGAATCATATATTAAGTCAGTGTTCATTTGAAAACAGTCAAGCCTGCATGAAAGTAAAAGAGTAGAAATTCTGTGCATATATGTTATATGGGGCCCCTTTGCGTGATTCCATGACAGCCAGCAGATAGGCCTAGTGGATTTTATGATAGGAGCCCTCTGAACATGACCATAGGAGAAACTAAACGAAGTAGTGGTCATTTTGAATTACTCCAGGAAATTTGAAGAGAGATGTCCTTGGTGCCTTAAAAGTAAAACATTTTTAAAATATTCAAAAGTCATTTAGAGAAAAATATGACTATGCCAAATAGTAAGCATACTTTTCCTTAATTAATAATCAAAAACATCTCTTATGGTTTTGAAGAATTTTCAGCATCATGCAACCACCTAATAAATGTGCACAGGTACCCCGTTTCTAATTTAAGCATTGAAACTAATATCTATATCTATCTAAATAGATATAGATATTGACTATGACTATGTCAAATAGTAAGCATACTTTTCCTTAATTAATAGTCAAAAACATCTCTTACGATTTTGAAGAATTTTCAGCATCACACAACCATGTAACAAACATATACATGTACCCCCTATATCTAATGTAAACATTCAAACTAATATCTATATCTATATCAATTCAATATCAATATAGTTTACAAATATCTTCTGTCATTCTATAGGTGTCTGTTTGCTCTGTGGATACTTGGGTTTTTTTTTTTTTTCTGCAGAAGCTCTTAAGTTTAATTAGGTCCCATTTGTTTATTTTTATTTTTGTTGCAGTTGCTTTTGGGGACTTAGCCAAAAATTCTTTGTCAAGACTGATGTTGAGAAGAGTATTTTCTATGTTGTCTTATAGGATTTTTGTAGTTTCAGGTGTTACATTTAAATCTTTGATTGATTTTGAGTTAATTTTTGTAAATAGTGAAAAGTAGGTGTCCAGTTTTATTCTTCTGAATATGGCTAGCCAGATATCCCAGAGCTATTTATTGAATAGGGAGTTCTTTTCCCATGCTTATTTTTGTTGACTTTGTTGAAGATCACATGGTTGTAGGCGTGCAGCATTATTTCTGAGTTTTCTATTCTGTTCTATTGTTCTACGTGTCTGTTTTTATATCAGTACCATGCTGTTTTGGTTACTGTAGCCCTGTAGTGTAGTTTGAAGTTTGGTAGTGTGATGCCTCTAGCTTTGTTCCTTTTCCTTAGGATTACTTTGGCTATTCAGGCTCTTTTTTTGGTTCCATATGAATTTTAGAATTTTTTTTCTAATTCTGTCAAGAATGATGTTGGTAATTGATAGGAATAGTGTTGAATCTATAGATTGGTTTGGGCAGTTTAGCTATGTTTAGGATATCAATTCTCCCAAACTGTGAGCATGGAATATTTTCCCATTTGTTTGTGTCATCTCCCGATTTCTTTCAGCGGTGTTTTGTAGTTCTCCTTGTACAGATCTTTCACCTTCTGTATTCATAGGTATTTCATTTTCTTTGTAGCTACTGTAAATGGCCAAATAATATGCAAAAGTGCTCAGCATCACTAATCATCAAATAACTGAAAATCAAAACCATAGTGAGATGCCTTCTTACACCAGGCAGAATGGCAATTATCAAAAAGTCAAAAGAACAACAGATGCTGGCAAGGTTGTGGAGAAAGAGAATGCTTATACATTGTTGGTGGGAATGTAAATCAGTCCATCCACTATGGAAATAAGCCTGGAGACTTCTCAAAGCTCTTAAAACAGAGCTACCATTCAACCCAGCAATACAATTAATTACTGGATGTATACCCAAAGTAAAATAAATCACTCACTAAAGAAAAAATAAGCACCCATATGTTCATTGTTACGCTATTCACAAAAGCAGAGACATGAAATCAACCCAGATGCCCATCAGTGGTAGTTTGGACAAAGAAAATATAGTACCATGTACATCATGAAATACGACACAGCCATAAAAATGAATGAAATCATGTCTTTTGCAACATGGATGTAGCTAGAGGCCATAGTCCTAAGCAAATTAACACAGCAACAGAAAACTAAATCCCACATGTCCTCACTTATAAATAGGAGCTAAGCATTGCACACACATGGACATACAGACACTGGGGACTACTAGAGCGAGAAGGGAGGGAAGTGGGTGTGGGTTGAAAAATTACCTATTGGATACTATGCTCTCTACCTGGGTGGTGGGATCCATTCCCCAAAGCTCAACATCATGTAATATTCCCATGTAACAAACCTGCCACATGTACCCCCTGTATCTAATGTAAACATTGAAAGTAATCTCTCTATATATAAATATAAACTGATACATATATATATGAAAAAGAATGTATCACGCAAATTCTTAGAAACTTGGTAATAGATTGTAGCTCATAAGTAGATTTGTCACAGGATTTGGGGAAAATTGAATTATACAAAGATAATTTCAGATAAATGTTTATGAGATAAAAATTATAAATATGCTTAAATAGGAATGGGCAGGTAGGAAGGGAGAATTGATACTGTATATATTTAACTTAGTTAAGATAGAAGATAACAGCCTACCAGTTACTTTCTTAAAGACACTGCCCCAAAGTTCTACAAAAACTTCTGGGCCTCATGATGAAGGGTTCTAGAGGGAATCAAGTATTCTGACTTCTAAAACCTCAGGGTATTTATAGCTAGACACTTATGAGGTACTATAGTTGGCTGACCTCAGGAAGAAAATGTAGTAGAGTGTTTTTAAAAACAAAGAGCATCTAAGGAAAAATAGATAAAGTTATTAAGAAGTTGGAGATATTTTTATAGTAAAAGAGACTGAGTAAGTATATGTCAAAATAATCCATCATAATGAACCACATGAGTATGTTGAATGGGAATTTCACCAAACTCTACAATACCAATGTTTTGGGGCCTCTTGGATCTCTTTTAGGGCCAAGCAAATCAAAGTATTTATTGCTTGTTTTTACGTAGTACAATTTGAAACTTATTCAGGATTATGGCCTAACTTATGAGTATAAGAAACAAAGGAATTTAAACAAAGTTATGAATAAGGAATGAGTAATTATTTATTATGGTTACAAAGAAAAAGTTGACCTTATTGAGAACCAAAGGACTTGGTCTGGTTTATCTTCTTTTCTTATACTTTTCCTGAGAAAGATGAGACTGAAACTCAGGTTACTGATAGATCAGTAGTCCACACCACATTTGTGGTTTTAAGTTAGCATCATCCTGATTCATGTGCTCTATGCTGCTAGTTATTTCTAGAACATTACCCCTTGTATTCAGACCTGATGGAGTAGAGAGTTCTGCTTAATATGGTCAAAGGGAGTAAAATGTGAATAGCAGTGACAAATCTGGATACATCTTGGTTTGTGTGCTTTTTAAATTGATCTCCCTAAATTCCCTTTCCTTGTAAATGAACTAACACAACACCACGTTTAGCATGATATATTGGTGACTTGGTTAAATTTTGCCCTTCTCTCCATTTACAAAATTAAGTTATATTTTGTGAAAGTGGTGCTTCAGTAGCGTATTATATGGTAAAGGCTTGTTACATCTAGATCCTTACATCACTATTTCAAAATTATGTTATAGGGAAAGTTTTTCTCTCATTAGAAACAAGAAATAAAGGCCTTAAAATCCTTTTTAAACATATTCTGCTGTTTTCTGTGCTATGGTGACCAATTTAAAATGTATCGCAAGTAATAAGGCATCATTTTTTTTCTGCGTAAAACATACCAGGAAAATGGACACCAACTCAAAATTTTTCTTTTGTGAATAGTGACTTGTTCCTTTTCTAGACAACTTTCCAGTAGTGGTTTTGTTTTTGTTGTTTAAATGGCAGACTTTAACTCTTTAAAAATTTAATTGGAGTGCAGGCTTTTTGTAAAAGTAGGTTATTTATAAAGTTCTGTGAGTCCTGAACATCACAGACACAATGTGGTAACATATTATTTCTGGAAATATAATAGAGGGAATCTAGTTCATCACTAGTTTGCTTATTTGATTAGAAATGCTGTGTGTTACGCTTGGTCAAGTTACTTTGGATCAGTTACTTTTAACATGGTATTTACCTGGCAACTACACACTATTCTGAACCTGCCATATGTTCAAGGCACAAAGTTGAACAAATGGAGAACTAAATGAGAAGGTGTTGATAATTTTAGAAGAGATATTTGAGGAAAAAAAAAAAAAACTCAGCTCTGGAGCCAGGAGTATTTTGTAAATATATGAGGGAGATTGACTGTTATTATTTTTAAGTATCATTCTAAAGAGAAACTCTTTGAAAGTGTGTGTGTTTTAAAAATTTAATTTGTGAATTGAAATTTTTGTAAGTATACATTTAAACACAAATCTGTACACATGTTATTATTCCTGTTTTTTCAGAAATAAATATATAGTAAATTTTTATTGGAATATCAGAAGAAAAACTTAACACAACTGTCTTAATATAGGTTACCGCAGCAATTTACCAATTGTTAACTAATGAGTTGCATAAAAGCTTGTTAGTTGTTCACACTAGACATAGTGCTTATTTTTCAGCCATTACATCCTGATCATTCTGACTATTGCTAAATTCTGTTGTGTACTCCTAGTAATCTTTATATTCAGATTGGAACCAACCGTCTGCTTCTTTCTATAATATTTGCCACAGAGTAATTTCTTGCTCTTAAACCTTGGACTTTAGGGGGCAGTGACTAATAGAGACACATTTGAGAGACACTTGGTCACTTACAATCTAGCTTTTCATCTTTGTTAAACTTGAATTCAAGACAGCTAGAAAAGGTTGGTAACCAAAAGAAGATTTTGTTATTTTAACTTTTATCATTGCCTGCCTCAAACTAATAAAGGGCCACTTAGACACTTGCCAAGGGTAATTAATTTTTCTTCTTTCCCCTGTCCCCCTCTTCCTCCTCTGTTGTAACTGGAAGCTTGCAATCCAATTACATTTTTAAAGAGTTAAAGTCTACCATGTAAAAAACAAAAACAAAATCACTACTGGAAAGTTGTCTAGAAAAGCAACAAGTCCATATTCACAAAAGAAAAATTTTAAGTTGGTGTCCACTTTCCTAGTCTCTTTTATTCAGAAAAAAAAGATGCCTTATTACTTATGATACATTTTAAATTGTCACCATGACGCAGAAAACAGAATTTGATTTTATATATATATGCACACACACATAGACACATGTATATACACATATACATGTAAATATATGTATATATACATATACATTCATATATACATATATAAACATATATACATGTATACATATGTATATGCATATGTGTGTATACGTATATACATGTGTGTACATATATACATATGTGTGTGCATATATACATATGTGCATGTATATACATATACACGTATATATGTGTATGTATGTATACGTATATATATACGTATACATACATACACATGCACAACCGTATATTACCTTTTGATATCAAGGATCTTAGACCCAACAGTGGGAAATTGCTCTAAAGAGTTGACAGTGATCATTAAAGAATCATTGTAGACATTAGTCAGTCTCCCAATAAACAGTAAAATGCTGATGAAACACTTAACTCCCAGTATTCTCGAGCTCTGGATAATGAATGTGGTTTAAAATTAATTTAACCAGATCTAATAACAAAAACTAAAACCCTCTAAAGTATTTCATGTCTTGTGGATAAATCTCTTATGTGTTGCTAGAAACAACCTTTTATTCCAAATCTAATTTTCTTTCCAACTCTGAGGATATGTTGATATAGATTATTTTAACTCAACAAGTTTGAGGTAGTACACTAACCTGAGTCATTATGTGTATATAAAATTGCAATCATCCCATTTCCTTTTGGAGTTTTATAGATAAGCTTCTTACTTGCCCTCCTGCCCCCTCATGTACATATTTTAAATTATCTGTATACATTTTTAAAAGTTATTATAAATAATTATATAGAGAAGTAATTTGGTTATATTTTAATTTATTTTTTCAAAAGCTCAAAGTACATTTAAATCTATACTTAAACCTAGCCAGTCCTGAGAAACAACTTTGAGTCACAATAAATAAGAGTTTAAGAAATAATAAGGATCAGTTCCGAATTACAGTGACAAACTAATAAATTTTCCCCAAAGCGTAATAGGTTAAAATAGCTTCTGCTAGAGGAGTGGGACAAGTAAAGACTCTCCACTCAGAACAACCAATGTGTTCCTAAATAGTTCTTTTCTCATTAATTGACATTAATGTGGACTTAATCACTCTTCTCTACTGACTCTCTGCACTTAGAGTCCTGCTTCTCTACCTTTATTGAAGGTAGGATCAAGTCACCTCTAGGAAATTCCCCCAGAGTATTTAATTCCCTGGCTCAAGTAAATGTTACTATTACTGTTCGTTGCAGATGATCTCATATGGAAACTCTATCTATCTATCTATCTATCTATCTATCTATCTATCTATCTATCTATATATCTATCTATCTAATCTATAATGGTTAGAAGTTGTAACCCGGTAAATAGAAAGGCCTGATTTATAGCACTATCAGCCCCCTTATCTGAGACATTTTCTGTTGACATTGATGTATAATCAGGAAAATGTTCCAGACCTGCTTTAAAAAGAGGGGGGCACTATGGCTTGTGTTCTGATTTTAACTTAATCACCATTGATTACTCTTCTTTCTTAGTTACTATTCCTCCTAGTTGGCAGGGTCCCAGAACTACATGCAGTACTCTAGAAATTAAATCCTATTAGTACTCAATATAACAGGAGGATCGAGAGAGAGGGATTGTCTTGTATTTCCTACTTGTTGTGCTACTATTTATGCATTGTGATATCATGCATGCTTGAACTAGTGATTGAGGAGAAAATAGTTCTAATAGGAATTGGCAGTTAGCCCAGAAGTCCTACTCAATGCCTTGAGCAATATTAACATCCTCTCAGTGTTATGGAGGCTTGTAAAGACTGACGTTAGGATTTATTTTTCATAATTAAATGATATATTCTTTGTTTTCTTTTTAAATTTAAAGATAGCAGTTTGCTCAATTGTTATGCCAAATTGGATTTTCAACTGAAGGTAATTTGAGATTTTTTAAATCAATTTGACCCTTCCTGCTTTGGCATTAAAACTGCATATTATTTTATATGTTTTATATAATACAAGAATGACAACAAGGTATGTCTTTATCACGAAGAAAAAAAGAATACACCAACATTCTCAGTAGTTTGTTTCTTTCCCTTTCATTTCCATCTTTTGGAAAATTTTACTGCTTTTTTGGTTCTCCATCACACCTACTCTTACCTTGCTCTATGCAATGAACACATGTAGATATAAATATTTTTATGTGTTTTTACTGCACAGCACACATGCTCAATTTGGAACATAAGCTTAAATGTCAATTTATGAAATAAGAGTTAAAAAAGAAAGGTAAAACAATTGAATTAACTTGACTGTTGTCTAATCAATATGTACTAATAGACAAAACAATGGAGACATGGTTTTAATGTTGCCACTCACATTTAATAATTGTAAACTTTATGATAGAAGAGAATCCTAAAATTTCTAGACTGAAATTACTTGTCAAATCTTTCTCCCAAGTTTGCCCTTTCACCCTATGATTTTATAAAATATACTGTGTTATACAAGGTTTAGCTGATAGGCTTCTGAAGCCACAGAATTCTTCAGGATGGAAATTGCACTTCATGGAGTAAATGGAAGCTATGTAAATAGTACATCTCCTTCCGCAAGTTAGTTTTCATTTATTCCTGTTTCTTTTCTTTTTTTTTCCAGTCAGTGAGGTTCGTTGAAGTCATCCTGTATTTCTTTCTCACTTACTCCACCTCATTGAAAAAACATCACCAGACTAAAATTTCTGTCAGAATATCTACTTTCACCCTTTCTTTTCACTTGCACTGCCACACCCTTTATTTCCTTAGATCTGGATTATTGCATGGTTGGTCTCCATGCTTCCAAGGTTTTTCCTTCCTACTCTTCAATCTTGCATATCCTCCTGTATCAACTTATACTATCATAACATTAAATACCTTGCTCAAAATCTCACAACCAATCTCAAGATTTTAAGCTTCTAAATATTGTGCTCAGTTCTACTTGGTATCTCTGAAATAAAATTTGCCTCAGGAAGTTTGAATATGCTAGTACCCAATGTCAGGTATTCTCTCTCTTCATTCATATATCCCAACTCAAGATGCATAATTACTCTGAATCCTGACTCTTTCAACTGGATGACATCTTTCCTTTCTCAAGCTTATCTGATATTTGATGTTGCTATCATTTTTTGGCATTTAATGATACTGACGTTTTTTAAAAAGGTTAATATTGGTATCTTTCCTCTTTAACAAACTCTATAAAGTCTTTGACATCAAAGACTGTGTCCAAAGGGTGCTTAACATGTGTTGTACACATAATAGTTGTTCAACAAATACTTTGAAGATTAATGGACAATTAATAATTATGATTATAATAAATGGGACATTTTAGTGTAATTAAATTAGATGTGCATTTTAAAGAATAATAAAGCAGTCCTGGAACATCCTCTCCTTATTATAATTAAATTTGAATTTACTGGTCTACTTCTTCTAGTACTATAAGACATGAGAGCATTTTAAATTCCTACTCAATTAAGCTTTAAATGTACTTTACAATTGACAGATATAAATCACATTGGAATAAAATATCCTTCTTAATGTTATATGAAGTCAGAATTCCCTATAATATAAATCTTGGGTAACAATTTCTTTTGCAGGGGGAAACACCCCCATTTTCAAAACGATCTTTTAAAGTAATTTTGATAAAACTTATCAAAGGTTGCCGATTTGTATCTTTTTAGTTGCAGTGACATTTTTTAAGTGTAGATTAGAATTCTCTGTGATAATCTAATTGTGCTCTATTGACCTCAAAAAGCAAGAGAATTTGTGTATTTGTGTATGTGTATTTTGACTTCTTGAATTTTTGAATATATCTTTCAAACTCAGTTTCTACTACAAAACAGGAAGCTAAAACAAAGTTATCTTAACCTTTTAGTGCATGATAATATTGATGTTACTATTTTGGTGTACAATCCAGTGGTCAAATGGCCAGTATATCCTGTACACAAGGGGCTCACTAACAGGGTTTGCCAAGAACAAATAAAAATCTTCTTGATTTCTATAAACTGTAGTGTATTCGGTATGTATGAGAATAAAATGACTTTTAAACATTTCTTTCAGAGCGGTAATAATAATGACATTGATTGTTCACATTTCTGCAAATAAAATGGTCATTTATTCTAAAATTAATATAGAAGGTCTTTTTCATTTATTGTTAATTTTTGCATAAGAAATCATATCCTGAATTGCACCTGACTAACCCTTACCATTGTCATTAACCAACAGCCATCATAGATAAGAATATTTTGTGCCTTTAAAATGTACGTTTTAGATATCACAAGTTGCATTAACAGAAAAATAACAAAATCATTATCTATTCTACATCAGAAGGAAGTTAGCTATAAAGAATAGCTTTTTGGGTTATTTTTTAATTGTACAGAATTTTCCAGTTTTTTTAAAATTGGTATTGGTTGGAACATTATCAATGTTAAGGTACTATGTACTCTGGATTTAAATAAATATGTAGTTTTTATGAAGAGAAGTTGGTAATTTTTACTTGAAAAAATCTGTTTGAAATATATGAATTTATGCATAGCTGAGAATCCTGTAATAATAAATATCATTAGTACTAGATTTTGTTAACATTATAAAATATATATGCTTTGCCCCAAATGCTGAATTTATAAACTTTGAAATGAAAGCATTGCTTTTGCTAAAAATGCTTTACAATTTGGTCTCAATTAATCTCAGGTTTTTCTGAAAATAATGTTTTAGAAAATTTTTTTATTAAAAACCTCACCTACGTATGGTTTAAAGTAACCCATATCAATCTAATTCTCAACCTGAATAATTGTAAGCATAAAACTTCATATTGCTATATTTTCTTAGAACTTCAGTGGTAGAATTTGAAATACTAAGAACATTCAGCATAGTTTTAGAAATACTAATATTATGTTTTATTGTTTTAGAGGTCTTAAATTTTTTTTAAATAGTTTATAAAAGTTAATCAGTGTGAACAGATACTTATTTCTGAACTTTTAAGCAAACATATAATCTGAATATTTAGGTGAGGTATTTCAGGGTAAATGTTTAAATCTGTACATTTAGGTATCCTTGAAAATTAAGTTGAAATCTAGACAATATTACACTTGCTGTGTAGTATTGATGAAAATAGTAATAATCATGCTAATAACAATAAGAAGAATAAGGAGGAGGATAATATCTAATATGTATTGAACACCCTACATTTTTGGGATTATTCTGAGTACTTTACATGTACTCACTTATTTAATCATCTCATAACCCTTTGAGATGAGTACTGTTCACTTACAAAATTTACAGAAATAGGTAATGAACTATGAAGATGGAAATAAGTAATGATGTGTATAACTGATAAATAAATTTTCCAAGTTGAGAAAGCTAATAAGTGGTGGAGCTGTAATACAAACATGTATGGTATAACTTCAGAGCCCTAATCTTACCCTTTACACGGAAGTCCTAAAGACATAGTCTCCTCATTTGCAAAATGGAGTCAATACTACTACAATAACTCTTGCTGCCATGGCTCCTGCTACTACTTTTCATGAGATAGCAATGTAGAATTAATAATAAAACATATTTTGAACCATACAAATGTAAACGGACCCTTTATCAAACATGTCTGTATTAGTTCTCACACTGCTAATAAAGACATACCCGAGACTGGGTAATTTATAAAGTAAAGGAGGTTTAATGGACTCACAGTTCCACATGGCTGGGGAGGCCTCACAATCATGGTGGAAGGCAAAGGGGAAGCAAGACATATCTTACATGGTGGCAGGCAAGAGCACATGTGCAGGGGAACTCCTATTTATAAAATTATCAAATCTCATGAGACTTATTCACTATTACAAGAAGAGGATGGGAAAAACCCACCCCCATGACTTACTTACCCCCACCAGTTTCTCCCACAACACTTGGGGATTATGGAAGCTATAATTCAAGATGAGATTTGGGTGGGGACACAGCCAAACCATATCATTCCACCCCTGGCCCCTCCCAAATCTCATGTCCTCACATTTCAAAACCAGTCATCCCTTCCCAACTGTCCCCCAAAGTCTTAACTCATTTCAGCATTAACTTAAACGTCCACAGTCCAAAGCCTCATCTGAGACAAGGCAAGTCCCTTCTACCTATCAGCCTGTAAAATCAAAAGCAAGTCAGTTACTTTCTTGATACAATAGGGATACAAGCATTGGGTAAATATACCCATTCCAAATGGGAGAAATTGGCCAAAATGAAGCCATGCAGGCCCCATGCAAGTTTGAAATCCATTAGGATAGCCAAATCTTAAAGCTCTGAAATGATCTCCTTTGACTCCATGTCTCACATCCAGGTCATGTTCCTATAAGACGTGGGTTCCCATAGCCTTGGGCAGCTCCACCCCTGTGGCTTTGCAGGGTACAGCCCCCATCCTGGCTGCTTTCACAGACTGGCACTGAGTGTGCAGCTTTTCTAGGTGCACAGTGCAAACTGTCAGTGAATCTACCACTCTGGGGTCTGGAGGATGGTGGCCCTCATCTCACAGCTCTGCTAGACAGTGTGCCAGTGGGGACTCTGTGTGAGGGCTCCCACCCCACCTTTGCCTTTTGCACTGCCCTAGCAGAGGTTCTCCATGAGGACCTCAACCCTAAAGCAAACTTCTGCCTGGACATCCAGAAATTTGCGTACATCCTCTGAAATCTAGGCAGAGGTTCCCAAATCTAAATTCTTGACTTCTGTGCCCCAACAGGATCAACACAATGTGGCAGCTGCCAAGGCTTGGGGCTTGAAACCTCTGAAGCCACAGCATGAGCTGTACCTTGACCCTTTTTATCCATGACTGGAGCCGCTGGGATGCAGGGCACCAAGTCCCTAGGCTGCACACAGCAGGGGGGCCCTGGACCCAACCCAGGAAACCATTTTTTCCTCCTAAGCCTCTGGGCCTGTGAAGGAGGGGCTGCTGTGAAGGTCCTCAACATGCCCTGGAGACATTTTCTCCATTGTCTTGGTGATTAACATTGGGCCCCTCATTACTTATGCAAACTTCTGCTGCCAGCTTGAATTTCTCCCCAGAAAATGGGTTTTTCTTTTCTATCACATCATCAGGCTGCAAATTTTCCAAACTTTTATGCTCTGCTTCCTCTTGAATACTTTGTTGCTTAGAAAATTCTTCCACGAGATACCCCAAATCATCTCTCAAGTTCAAAGTTCCACATATTGCTAGGGCATGGGCAAAAGCCACCAGTTTCCTTGCTAAAGCACAGCAAGAATCACCTTTGCTCCAGTTCCCAACAAATTCCTCATCTCCATCTGAGACCACATCACCCTGGACTTTTATTGTTTATATCACCATCAGCATATTGGTCAAAGCCGTTCAACAAGTCTCTAGGAGGTTCCAAATTTTCCCACATTTTCCTGTCTTCTGAGCCCTCCAAACTGTTCCAACCCATGCCTGTTACCCAATTCCAAAGTTGCTTCCACATTTTCAGGTATATTTACAACAGCACCCAACTCTTGGTACTAATTTACTGTATTAGTCAATTCTCATGCTGCTAATCAAGACATACCTGAGACTGGGTAATTTATAAAGAAAAACAGATTTTATGGACTCACAGTTCCACATGGCTGGGGAGGACTCACAATTACGGTGGAAGGCAAAGGGGAGGCAAGACATGTCTGATACAGTGGCAGGCAAGAGCACATGTGCAAATGAACTCCCCTCTATAAAACCATCAGATCTAGTGAGATTTATTCACAGTTACAAGAACAGCACGAGAAATACCCACCCCCATGATTCAGTTACCTCCCACCGGGTTTCTCCCAAGACTCACGGGGATTATGGGAGCTACAATTCAAAATGAGATTTGGGTGGAGACACAGCCAAACCATATCAGTGTCATATGAGGAGGTTAACACTTACAAAGACTGGCTACTTATACTTTTTGTTGGTCCACTATGACTGGTGAAATATAATACTTATAAAATATAATGATTTTTTATGTGTGAAAATTTACCTCTTTAAAACTCAGGTTTTTGAGATAATGTGATCCATAGAGACCACAGGATTATAACAATATACAACTCATACAGATTTTAACTTTCATCTTCAGATTCAATTTTGCTGTTTTTACAACATATATGTCAGTGAAAAAATGGCCATAGTTATATTAAAAGTTAAAAATGAACAAAAAACTTTATCCCAACCTATTAATTTAATGATAAATTTGGAGTTCAAGGTTTAAGCTCTACCTTTGGCCTAACTAAAGAAATTTAGGAGGACACATTGCAAAATTCAAGAATTCCTTAAATTATCTAATATTTAAATGCTGTGTGTTCATTGAACCTTTGTAATAACCCCCTTATAACTTCTGAAATTATATTACTAAATAACTTCTGGGAGGCTCGACATATTTCCTGTTAATGAGCTCACAAACAGGAAACAGGCTTAAGAAAACAATACTGTGAAATATGAACACTTTTAAAGGATTGATAGGAAAAAATAAAGAATAAAACCCACTGTGATCTCTAAGATTTTATTAGGTTACTCCACCTGCAAAAACAGATGTTATATCTATTTCAGATCATTTTGTCAGTGATATTTTGGGCACTTTCTAAGTGATAATCGATCTTGATTTTAGAAGTTAAAAACCTTTCAAGATTTAAAGATCTCTCTGCTATACACTGCTATGATAACACCACATTTTTAAGACATATATCTTTTTGTAATTAAGATTAATTTTTCATGGAAAATATCACTTCCATTTTTATTTTAATATTTTTAAAAAGTAATTGAGGAATGATAATATTCACTAATTTATATAAGTTGGGTTTTTTTGAAACTAGACTCTAGCCTTGGATATTTGTTTTAAATATACTAGAAATAAAACAATAAGGATTTGGTTACAGCTTGGAAATAGTCAATTCATCTAACTACATGAATATTTGAGTTAGCCAGAGGTAGTCTGAAATTGGTTCTATTTACTTATTATTTGACCCTTTAATTACATAAGTTGTCTCTAGTCCTTTTCTCTTTTCCTCCTTTCCAGTATTTCCCATTCTTCTGCTTGAATGAATTCCCAATCTTTCTCCCTTCTTAGAGCTTGAGAGCTTGAAGCCACTAGATTGTATTGGGAGTGAGAGTAGCAGAAACCAGAAAGGCACACATACCTTGTTGCCCGTTTTACCTACCACAAGCCCAGAAGAATACAGATAATAAACCTTCATTTCCAACTGTGAAGTTCACCAGGTGGAGGTTAAAGTTGAAAAGTGTATTTACCATCTGATTAAAATATGGACCAAATACCCCAACAGACACTTTGCCAAATAAAATATGTAGGTGGCAAGTAAGTATATGAAAAGATGCTCCACATTGTATGTCATCAAGGAAATGCAAATTAAAACAACAACGAGATATTGCTGTGTATCTACTATCAGAATGGCCCAAATCCAGAACACTGACAAAAAATGCTGGCAAGGATGTGGAGCAACAGGGACTTCTGTTCCTTATTGGTGAAATGCGGAAATGGTACAGCCACTTCCGAAGTCAGTTTTGCAGTTTCTTACAAAACTAAACATATTCTATATGATCAGCAATTGTGCTCTTCTGCATCCCCAAGGATTGAAAACTTATATCCACACAACAATCTGCATATGAATGTTTATAGTAGGGTTAATTATAAATCCCAAAGCATGGAAGCAACCAAGATGTCTTTCAATAGATAAATAGATAAATTGTGGCATATATAGACAATGGAGTGTTATTCAGCATTAAAATGAAATGAGCTATCAAACTGTGAAAAGATAAGGAGGAAATGTAAATGCGCATTACTAGGTGAAAGAAGCTTATCTAAAAAAGCTACATACTATATGATTCCAACTGTACAACATCCTGGAAAGAGCAAAACTATGGAGATGTAAAAAGATCAGTGATTGTCAGGGGCTCAGGGAGGTAGGGATGTATAGGTGGAGCACACAGAACTTTTAGGGCAGTAAAACTACTTTCTATGATATTCTATACTCTAATGGTGGATGCATGTCATTACACTTTTTTTTTTATACTTTAAGTTTTAGGGTACATGTGCACAATGTGCAGGTTTGTTACATATGTATACATGTGCCATGTTGGTGTGCTGCACCCATTAACTCGTCATTTAACATTAGGTAAATCTCCTAATGCTATCCCTCCCCCATACCCCCACCTCACAACAGGCCCTGGTATGTGATGTTCCCCTTCTTGTGTCCATGTGTTCTCATTGTTCAATTCCCACCTATGAGTGAGAATATGCGGTGTTTGGTTTTTTGTCCTTGTGATAGTTTGCTGAGAATGATGGTTTCCAGCTTCATCCATGTCCCTACAAAGGACATGAACTCATCATTTTTTATGGCTGCATAGTATTCCATGGTGTATATGTGCCACATTTTCTTAATCCAGTCTATCATTGTTGAACATTTGGGTTGGTTCCAAGTCTTTGCTATTGTGAATAGTGCCGTAATAAACATACGTGTGCATGTGTCTTTATAGCAGCATGTTTTATAATCCTTTGGGTATATACCCAGTAATGGGATGGCTGGGCCAAATGGTATTTCTAGTTCTAGATCCCTGAGGAATCGCCACACTGACTTCCACAATGGTTGAACTAGTTTACAGACCCACCAACAGTGTAACAGTGTTCCTATTTCTCCACATCCTCTCCAGCACCTGTTGTTTCCTGACTTTTTAATGATCATCATTCTAACTGGTGTGAGATGGTATCTCATTGTGGTTTTGATTTGCATTTCTCTGATGGCCAGTGATGATGAGCATTTTTTCATGTGTCTTTTGGCTGCATAAATGTCTTCTTTGGAGAAGTGTCTGTTCATGTCCTTCACCCACTTTTCGATGGGGTTGTTTGTTTTTTTCTTGTAAATTTGTTTGAGTTCATTGTAGATTCTGGATATTAGCCCTTTGTCAGATGAGTAGATTGCAAAAATTTTCTCCCATTCTGTAGGTTGCCTGTTCACTCTGATGGTAGTTTCTTTTGCTGTGCAGAAGCTCTTTAGTTTAATTAGATCCCATTTGTCAATTTTGGCTTTTGTTGCCATTGCTTTTGGTGTTTTAGACATGAAGTCCTTGCCCATGTCTATGTCCTGAATGGTATTGCCTAGGTTTTCTTCTAGGGTTTTTATGGTTTTAAGTCTAACATTTAAGTCTTTAATCCATCTTGAATTAATTTTTGTCATTGGTTCTGTTTATATGCTGGATTACGTTTATTGATTTGCGTATGTTGAACCAGCCTTGCATCCCAGGGATGAAGCCCACTTGATCATGGTGGATAAGCTTTTTGATGTGCTGCTGGATTCGGTTTGCCAGTATTTTATTGAGGATTTTTGCATCGATGTTCATCAGGGATATTGGTCTAAAAGTCTCTTTTTTTGTTGTATCTCTGCCAGGCTTTGGTATCAGGATGATGCTGCCCTCATAAAATGAGTTAGGGAGGATTCCCTCTTTTTCTATTGATTGGAATAGTTTCACAAGGAATGGTACCAGCTCCTCCTTATACCTCTGGTAGAATTCGGCTGTGAATCCATCTGGTCCTGGACTTTTTTTGGTTGGTAAGCTATTAATTATTGCCTCAATTTCAGAGTCTGTTATTGGTCTATTCAGAGATTCAACTTCTTCCTGGTTTAGTCTTGGGAGGGTGTATGTGTCCAGGAATTTATCCATTCCTTCTAGATTTTCTAGTTTATTTGCGTAGAGGTGTTTATAGTATTCTCTGGTGGCAGTTTGTATTTCTGTGGGATCGGTGGTGATATCCCCTTTATCATTTTTTATTGCGTGTATTTGATTCTTCTCTCTTTCCTTCTTTATTAGTCTCGCTAGCGGTCTATCAATTTTGTTGATCTTTTCAAAAAACCAGCTCCTGGATTCACTGATTTTTTGAAGGATTTTTTGTATCTCTATTTCCTTCAGTTCTGCTCTGATCTTAGTTATTTCTTGCCTTCTGCTAGTTTTTGAATGTGTTTGCTCTTGCTTCTCTAGTTCTTTTAATTGTGATGTTAGGGTGTCAATTTTATATCTTTCCTGCTTTCTCTTGTGGGCATTTAGTTCTATAAATTTCCCTCCACACACTGCTTTGAATGTGTCCCAGAGATTCTGGTATGTTGTGTCTTTGTTCTCGTTGGTGTCAAAGAACATCTTTATTTTTGCCTTCATTTCGTTATGTACCCAGTAGTCATTCAGGAGCAGGTTGTTCAGTTTCCATGCAGTTGAGCAGTTTTGAGTGAGTTTCTTAATACTGAGTTCTAGTTTGATTGCACTGTGGTCTGAGAGACAGTTTGTTATAATTTCTGTTCTTTTACATTTGCTGAGGAGTGCTTTACTTCCAACTATGTGGTCAGTTTTGGAATAGGTGTGGTGTGGTGCTGAAAAGAATGTATATTCTGTTGATTTGGGGTGGAGAGTTCTGTAGATGTCTATTAAGTCCGCTTGGTGCAGAGCTGAGTTCAATTCCTGGATATCTTTGTTAACTTTCTGTCTTGATCTGTCTAAGGTTGACAGTGGGATGTTAAAGTCTCCCATTATTATTGTGTAGGAGTCTAAGTCACTTTGTAGGTCTCTAAGGACTTGCTTTACGAATCTGGGTGCTCCTGTATTGGGTGCGTATACATTTAGGACAGTTAGCTCTTCTTGTTGAATTGATCCTTTTACCATTATGTAATGGCCTTCTTTGTCTCTTTTGATCTTTGTTGGTTTAAAGTCTGTTTTATCAGAGACTATGATTACAACCGCTGTCTTTTTTTGTTTTCCATTTGCTTGGTAGATCTTCCTCCATCCCTTTATTTTGAGCCTATGTGTGTCTCTGCACGTGAGATGGGTTTCCTGAATACAGCACACTGATGGGTCTTGACTCTTTCCAAACCCATAGAATGTAAAACAGCAAGAGAAAACCCTAATATAAACTATGGACTTTGGGTGAGAATGATATGTCAATATGGGTTCAGAATTTATAACAAACGTATCACTCTGTGAAGACAGGAGGTATATGAAAAATCTGTACCTTTCACTCAATAGTGCTGTGCTCCTAAATGTGCTCTAAAAAGTCTATTAGAAATGCACAGAGATCAATATCATTTATGTACAAAACACTAAGTACATTTATACAGGGAGAAAATACCCAGAAGCACTTTATCTCACACGCACCCACACACACATACTCTCTCTCTCTCTCTCTCATTCTGTCTCTCTCACATACACACACACTCTTACACACAAGTGGATTTACTAAAGAAAACTGAAAAGTTATATGCAAACAAAGCATCTTTAATAGATTTGTGCCCTTCTACGTTGTGGATGCTTTCTGCATCATGGAGACACTTTGGGACAATGTGGCCTTTTTTTTTTTTCTTTTTGTGAAGAAATGGAGATTGTAAAAGTAGTCTTTTCTGACAGGATGTTACCATAAGAAGAAATTATCTAATAGAATTAAATATTATTATTTGTCTTTAATTCACAGAAAACTTGTTCTATAATTCTAATGTCAACAGTTCTTCTTTCTATGCTGTCAGAATGAGGGTTTTTGAATTAACATATTTCTGAATACCAGAGGATTATTTTTAGACAATTAGAGGTAACTTTTTAATTATTACTTTTTTTTAAATGTCAAGAGATATACATATTTTACCAAATTGATGTTGCAATAACAAAGTAAAGTTTAAGACATTTTGCCCAAAGTGATAAAAAGTAGAACTTTATAAAAACTTAAAGTATTGATACTTAGAATATTCATAACATAATTTGAAAAGAAACTGCCTTGAAATTACTCCTAAGTTGCAGTTCAGTACCACCACAATTTTTGCTTCAAATTCAGACTATGATACTGTTGAACCAGTATTTCTTTCTCTGTTTCTTGTTTGTATGTTTATGAGATAAAGCCTTGATGTGTTGTCCAGGCTGGCCTCCCAAATCCTAGGCTCAAGCAATCTTCCTACTTCAGCTTCCCAAGTAGCTGGGATTACAAATGCATGCCACCATGACCTGCTAAAACAATATTTCTCTTTTTATCCTTGGCCAGCACCCAAGAAAACTGTGGAATAAACATTGAAAACTAAAGTAATCTGGACCAAGTTTTCTCAGACCGCTAGTAATTACTAGAAAGAAGGTGATAATAAAAATCCATATTTTATAGAATATCAGAACATTTAAAAACAATGGAAGATGTATTTGCCCTCAGAGTTATTTGTATAAAATTAATAATATTGCAAATTCTGGAATAATTTTAAAAATTGAAACCAATCTAATATCTCTGTTAACAAAGACTCATGCCACTGAAATTTATATGAAAAAAACGCGGTAAAATTTTGATGACATGTTGCTATATTTCTATAAAATGATTATGCCTGGAATGATGCTTAACTTCTCTTAAAATTCTGCCATTTAACAAAGGCCATATCAGTTTTGTTTTACTTTAGTTTTCATTGCTTACATTTTTGAAACATTCACCTTTTCATTCTAATAATGACAGGTGGCATGGTTTTATCAACACAGTAATGTTCACCATTCTTATGAAGTTCTTTGTGAGAAGGTAGCATTACACACACAATCAGTTATATGTACTACAGAGAGGGCATGAAAGTTTTCATTTCTTACTTTACCCCTTACCACATACACAAACTGTAAAATGTAACAAGCCTGGAGCTTTTATGAATACTTGATCAAAGTTAAATTTGATGTGCACTAGAATGTGTTGGTTGTCTTCAGGTCAGCATGTGGGTCCAGAGGCTTGTATATCCCCTGCAGTCCTTAAATCACAGTCTGTTCCAAGATATGCTTCATTGCAATTGCAAGGTTCTGCAGAAAACACCAAATACAGTATTTTCATTAAAATATTTGTTTTATTAATATTTAAGATTTTCAATAGAATTCCAAGTATTATAGTAACTGCTGTAATGTATTTTCTCAACCAAAAAATTTTTCAGACTTTCAGCAACTTTGGTACATTTTTATTTTCTTTTTTTCTTTGTTTTTTCTTTCTCTCTCTCTTTTTTTTTTTTTTTTTTTTTTTTTTTTTTGTTATTGTTGAGACAGAGTTTCACCCTTGTTGCCCAGGCTGGAGTGCAATGTTGCAATCTCAGCTCACTGCAACCTCTGCCTCCCATATTCAAGCAATTCTCTTGCCTCAGCCTCCTGAGCAGCTGGGATTACAGGCATGTGCCACCATGCTCCGCTATTTTTTTAAATTTTTAGTAGAGACAGGTTTTCGCCATGTTGGCCAGGCTGATCTTGAACTCCTGACCTCAGATGATCTGCCCGCCTCAGCCTCCCACAGTGCTGGGATTACAGGCATAAGCAACCATGCCCGGCCACATTTTTATTTTCTATATAGTGTTTGCTTTTACCTAACTGAATACTCAGTTATGTGGGACTTGGAGATAAATTCTGTATTTACTAGATAATAAATGTTTATTTGTTAGCTAAAGTAGAATTTTAGTTGCCAAAACATTTTTTTTCTTTAGCCAAATTAAATTATCATAGAGCAGGTTTAGAGACTCTCCTCATATAAACCAATATTATGTGTGACTCTGGCAGGATACACTTCCTTTAGATTAAATATATGTCAATGGATTTGAATAGCAAAAGTGGTGAATTCATTTTGTAAAATAAACATTTACTTATTTACTTTTTAGAAAAAAAATCTATAATAATCCTAGTATGACTGTGTCCTTATTAATAGCTACTGTTTTGAAAAAGAAAAATGATAATATTTATGCTTATGAAAGGATAAACATTAACTTCTGTTTATCATAAAGAACTATAAATTTGGCAGAATTTACTACTAACATAATACTATGCTTCATTCTGCTATGGGGAAAAATATTAATTGTACATGCTTCAATTGATGTCTTCCAATTTTTAAGAAATTATTCACAAAAAATTAAAATCTAATTAAATTAGACTTGTAAGGATGAAATACTCAAAGTAGAAACTAGAATATGCCAATCAGTGCATTATATGTTCATTGAGTACTCTGGCATTTCTTTTTAATCAACAGAAGGTAACATATTTACTGATAAAACTAGCAAAAAGGCAGAGAGAGCAATTAATGTTTGGAAAACTTTCAGAAACTGATGAACAAAAGATAATAATCATAAATTACTAGTTAATTCAGAAGTATAGAATTGAGTTTTAAGATGTAAGTATACAATCATACATTGAACTAGTTCCTACCCACAACTTCAGCAAATGTATAGAAGGTTCATCTTAAGACCTAAAGTTACTAATGCTAAAAGAAATATATTATTGAATGATCTTATAACCATTTCTCTCCTTCCTGTACTGTTATTTATATATCAAATTGCTATTTCACTGTTCAGGTATATATGTAGTATTTACCTAAATTTTTAATTTCTTGAAGGTTTTGTACTGTTTCATATTTATTTACTGTCCAATAATATCCAGTCCAGCTCAGTGGACTTACTAAATATTTGTTAATTTGCTGTACTAAGCACACTCAAGTTACACATGTTCATATGTATTGGAGGTGGTGCAAAGTTGTATATAGGTAGTAATACTTATTTAAATACCTTGGAATCTAGCAGAACTCAATGGATCAAAGAAAGTCAATGGCTTACTCAGTCTATGAGTTCAAAGTTGATAGGTAAATTTCAAACTGTACAAAATAATTATGTATTGACAGTGATGTAATCTAGACTACTGACACACTCATAGTAAAATAATGTTGCTAGTAGCACAGTAGCAGAGTTTAAATTTTGCTAAATTAATTGTGTGCCCAATAACAGCTTTCATCTTTCCTATTGTGTTTACATTTTATTCTAAGACTGGAGAAAGTTATTTTTAAAATTTTGGGGTCGAATACATATATTTAAGAAAATACATAAAGGTCACTTTTAAAAGTTGCATTTGGGCCAGGCATGCTGGCTCACGCTTGTAATCTGAGCACTTTGAGAGGCCGAGGCACCAGGATCACCTGAGGTCAGGACTTTGAGACCATACTGGCCAACATGGCAAAAACCCATTTCTACTAAAAATACAAAAAATTAGCCAGGTGTGGTGGTGCACATCTGTAATCCCAGCTACTATGGAGGCTGAGGCAGGAGAATCACTTGAACCCAGGAGGCAGAGATTGCAGTGAGCTGAGACCGTGCCACTGCACTCTATCTAGCCTGGGTGAAAGAGCAAGCCTCCATCTAAAAAATAAATAAGTAAATAAATAAATAAATAAATAAATAAATAAATAAATAAATAAAAGTTGCATTTAGATAGTTTAATAGTGACCAAGAGGTATTCATATATTTTACTGAAGACCACATGCTTTAAAGTATATTTTCTTCTAAAGGTAAGAGAACAATTTTATAGTGTTCAAATGACATTTATGTTCATCATTTCATATTATCCTAAGAATGATCCTTTGGAATAAGATGGAGACAATATTATCTCCACTTATAGATGATGAGATTCAGATTAAAAAACTCAGCACTGTACAATACAAGCCTACAGAAACTGAATGACTACAGGTTGACTTGAATTTTTATCTATTTGTCCCCAAGTCCTGTATTTTATTCTCTGAAACATCCACTATTATCTATGATACCGAAATGTTTTTGACTTATAAAATGATTATAAATCTTAATTACCACCTCTCAGAATCCGTTGCTTAGTTAATATAGAGGTTTTCTTTCTTAAATTTGGTTTCACTTAGCTTTGTTTTTAATAATGGGAGGAAAAGACTGCAAATATAACTTATGTTTATAAATTTAAAAATAACCATCAGGAAGTGTAAACATTTCATTTACTGTGTTTAGTTTCTATCCTTAGATGAGCTCCACAATGGTTTGGACTTACTTAATATACTTAAAAACATTTGCACCTCTTGTTCAGATCATTTTAATAAATATTTATTGACTACCTATTCTAGGCAGAGGAATTGCAAAGGAAAATGCAGTCCTTCCTTGTTTAGAAAGGTAATCATCTAAGTAAAATATATATGGAAAAAGTAAATACAATACAGCCTGGTTAAGTGCAATACAAACACTGGAAAATAGGAAACTATTAACTTTAAAGAGCCATATAAGGTCAGATTGAGGAACAACACTGAAGCAACATTTAGTAACTGGGAACAGAATATTAACAGTCTGTTTATATGAGGATGGCATCATATTATCACAAACTATAAGTTATCTTAATAGGTAACTATCTAATTAATAACAGAAAAATATTCTTATACCAAAAGAAAGATTTTAGTTAATAATCCACATTTTTAACTGGTTAGAAATTATAAGCTATTCAGCAGCATCTTATTTAATTTTATAGGCATACTTTGCAAATAATTTTTTTGGGGGTATATGTCAGGATGATTTCATGTTGGGTGGTTGGCTTTGTTTCATTTTCACTGTCCTTGTTGGGCATCTTTCTTTCCTCAGGAGGATGTTGTCTCTTACACCCAGGTTATTTGTTAAAGTCTTTGGATCTATACTTAACTGATGACCTAGAAGAGCGATTCTCAAAAGTGTGAGTCCTGGACCAGCAGCAACAGCATCACCGGGAACTTGTTAGAAATGCACATTCTCAGGCCACTCCCTAGACCTACTGAATCAGAAACCCTGGGGTTGGAGCTCAGCAATTACCCTGCAGGTAATTCTGATGCATGCTCAAGTTTGAGAACCACTGGCCTAGAAGAAATGAACTACTGCAACTTATGAGGAATCATGAGATCCAGCTCACTTTTGCTCAATACCTATCAAAAGCTTGTCCCAGAGTGATTATGGAGGATTGCATGCAGGATACACACTTCATTAAATCCTCTAAAATCTAACTTTGATTAATTAAGTACAGGGTTATTGCTGATAGCCTCATAACTCTACCACCATTATAATGGATCTATATAAAATTGCTTAATATCAGTAGCCTAAATTTAGGAGCACTATAGTTTTAAAAATACTTAATTGGCTACTTTATTTAACAATGTTTTAGGGATGTCGTTCAGTATCTTTTCCAGTGTTTGCTACCTAAGATCCCATTGGGGTAAAAATATAACTCAGATTTCACTGTTAGGAATAGTTCTGTTTGTGAGCAACTTACTTCCTTTCATCTTACACAATGAACCTTGTAATTTAATTATGATTTTCTCTTCATACGAGCTGTTAGAAAGCTCAGCATTAAATTTGTGGCTCACCTCTAGCAAATATATAACACTTAATGATGTGACTGTCCTGATTCTAAAACTTTTTCTCTTGGTTTTTTACTTTTTAAATAAAAACACATTTAACTTACCTTCTTATTTGTGCGATGTAATGGTCATTTTAAGTTTCTTTTTAACGACAAGTTGAAGGATTGCTTAATTAATTAACAAATAACATTAAAACTTATGTGCCTATAGAAGATGCTGAACTATACCAAATTTTGCCAGGAAATAGAATTCAAAAGGATTAATATAGTTTTGGGTTAATAAAATGGAATCAAAAATGTAATGTCAGCAGGGCACGGTGGCTCACGCCTGTAATCCCAACACTTTGGGAGGCCGAGGTGGGTGGATCACGAGGTCAGGAGATCGAGACCATCCTGGCTAACACGGTGAAACCCCGTCTCCACTAAAAATACAAAAAATTAGCCAGGCTTGGTGGCGGGCGCCTTGTAGTCCCAGCTACTTGGGAGGCTGAGGCAGGAGAATGGCGTGAACCCAGGAGGCGGAGCTTGCAGTGAGCCGAGATCACGCAACTGCCCTCCAGTCTGGGCGACAGAGCAAGACTCCATCTCAAAAAAAAAAAAAAAAAAAAGAATGTAACGTCAATAAAGATACTCTTGTCAAAATGAGAAACTGAAACTTATAGTGGCTCAAGGATTTTTTCGTCGTCAGTGAGGCTAGTTAATGGCAGAACCAAGGTGAGAATTTATGTCACCTAACCTAGATGTCTAAGTACTTATTCCATTGTTTCATGGGGCTTGAAGTCTTTACTGCTATTTAAAATTGTATATTTACTTTTAAAATATTATGTATACATATATTAATATATACAACCCATTCCTTTTAGATTATGTATTCTTCATTTATATTTTATATGTTATCTACATTTAAAATCTACAGAGGAAAAGTAGGTCTTTCTTTTAAGAAATATCATTATCCACAGCATTAAGCATTCAGATTCAAAGAACCTTAGGGATACAGAGATTTGAGGGATTAGATGAATAAGTTGAGGCGTCTAAGACTACTTGCCCAAAGTAATACAGCTCTTTAGTGGTAGAATCAGGGCTGGAACATAAGCCTCTTTACTCCTTGTAGTAGAGGTTTTGCTACCATAGAGAAAGACAAACAAACAAGCATTTTTTCACATAAAAAGTAATTATGATTCGTAATAGTGCAATTAATGCAAAGATGTTTTAAGCCAGGATAAAGATGGGGAATTGTTGAAACTAATTTAATTGTGCCTATCTGTTCTTGAAGTAGGGCCTGTTCGTTTATCACATTTATCAGTTTTTTTATCCATTCTATTCTATAAATGCATATCACAACTCACTATAGGAGGTGACTGAGTGAGCTTTACAGTGATAAATTTTTCTTGTTAGGAGAAATTACATCCACTAACTTGAGCTACTTCAGCATGAAATTGAAAAAGAATCATTTTGTCTTAATTTACATTCTTGATTCAATGAGAAAAATGTGAATTAACCCAACAGAACTACAGATGCTTGCCTCAGAGACTAAAGGTACACTAAATTGGTATCATTAGAAGTTCATCAATTTAAACATCATCCAATTTATTAGAATAGATTTTAAGCGAGGTTATTAAGGTTAGTTACGCCAAGCCTGTATATTCATTTTTCTAAATATTCATTTGTTACTTTGGTTCAATTTTATTATTTTTGATACATCTTTATCAATACTCCAGTGCGGTTTTCATTTCTCACCTAAGCTGTGCACATCATTTCTTAATCAAAATCACTGGGATAGTGCTGCGGTTCACTAGCCTTAGGAGCTGCTATTTGCCTTGAATAAATTACATGAAAACATGTTGATTGATAGATGTTGCATGTCAGAAAAGAAGATAACTGTATCTTCTTCAGCTTACTAAAAGGTCATGCACACAGAGTGATAGGAACAGCCACAGACAACTTTGAGATAAAGTGTATCATGAAAAGGTGTGCAACCTTGAAGCTGTGAAACATGGACTTGAAAGACATTTTCTTTTCAAATAGAAAGAAAATATATCCAGTTACATTTAAGTGTTAAAGTAAAAATAAAATATACTTTATCTTAACTATATTTTCCAATATTTTAGTAATACACAATCTCTGCTTTTCTCATGTGATTAAAACGGTGAAATTCATAATTATTTTTAAATTGATCTTTTAACTTAAAATCTTGTAAGGATATGGAAAAATTTGAGAAAATACTTTAATTTTATAATACACATTTATATAACAGTCTTAGGGAAATGAAAGAAATCTACATGTAGATAAATGTTTAATATTAATAAACTGGAAACAAGCTTTGGTAGCCTTTTCTTATTTTAACTTAAATCTCCAACATATCTAATTGTGTCTAGAAATAATCTGTGAATTGAGGCTTATATTTTGTTTTCTGTTTCATTTTTCAGGCCATCGGCATATTTCTAAAGTGTGGGGTTTAAAACTGCATTTACCTAAATGTTTATATTAAGACAAAACCAAAAGCACTTAAAATAAACCTCTGCATGTAAATATTGTAAATTTTTTTGGTCATTCAGCATACTTAAGGCATATCTGTGCTAATGTTAAGCCTTATATTAAAAAGGAAATTTTGTTCTTTTATGAATATTCCATATATATGCATTCATTAACCTAGCTAAGTTAAAAAAGAAACTGACAGTGTTTTGGAAGTATAGTTTTAAAAGTAGGATGGAATGTTTTTAGTTTCAGAAAAAACACTAGCCATGTTCTTATCTATCCCAAATTACTTTGTTCTCCAACAGAGCTGCCAAACTGTCAAACTGTCCAGCTTCAGTATATAACAAAGATTCTGTTGTATTGTAAAGATATTCATAACAATTTTTATGGAAGGCTGAAAGTGTATAAGTTCACAGTTGTAGCGATAACATGGCACTCTTCACTGTTTGGCTTGTTTATATTGGCACAGATCCCCAAAGTGGAGACTGACAGAGTCATGCAGAAATCTGGTATTTGAGTTGAAATTTACACACTTTAAGTGATGAACTAAACAGGCTGGTGTTTTCTTTTTCTTACTCAAAAAGTGCAAGGTTACACAATACAGACGGTTTTCATCTTTTCCCATAAATGCACAGATTCCTGGGATATAAATGACTGAATTCATCACCAATTCATCAGGGACGCTGAGCTATGCAGTTCTGTTTACAGTGGCAGAAAGTTAATATAAATTTTCATCAGAAGGGGAAGTTTACACATATGATTCTATTTGTCCTTCATTATTAGCACCTGAGTCTAGGCTAGAACGCATAATTGTCTACAGGCACAGGCCAAATAGATGCAAGGGAAAGGCAAATAAGCACACCAAAAATAATTTTATGGTTGTCTGTTACAATTCTCTCACTGGGATTCTTAATCTAGAAAATCAATAAACAACAGGAGTGAAACTCTTTTCCTCTGCTCAGGCATGGCACAGCCGAAAGTAGCACACAGAAAAACCATTGTGCTTCTTTTTGTTTTAGTTTATTCTTTCTGTGAAGTTTATTGGATCCCCTTTCTCCTCAAGCAAAATATATCCTGAGTCAGTCTGCTATTTTTTATACATTTTTCAATCATTTTTTTGGTTCAAGTGACAGCAAATTTGACCTGACAAAATAGTACCTTCTTTTAATTTTTGAAAATAAGTTAACTTAGGAATATATATTTATCATAAAGATTTTAAAATTTTTTTATTGTATTACCATCTGAACATCTGTGGAAACTCAGACATTAGAGTAGACCAGTGCTATCTAAGGATGACAATGGCTAAACCACACTAATGGCAAAGCCAAGATCAATGATCCTGATTTTAGGGTAATGGGCATCTATTCTCTAATATATCTTGATATAAAAATATTAAAAGTAGCCTATTTTTGGATATCATGCTCTATCAACATCAAGGATACATTTATTATATCTAATTTTATATTTCATTCTTGTTTTAATATAATTTATTTTGTTGGAATTATTATTTAATATAATTATTTAATATAATTTACTTTGTTGGAATTTTGTCTTTTAAGTTAAAATAAGCCAAATTAATCCACCTTTTACCTGCTGTTAAAAGTTGTTTACTTTTTCCCCCAATCTGGACCTCAATATGAACTTTCATATTATTTTATTCTTCTGATTGACTTTATTAATAAATAGCCTGTGCTCTTTTTGTCCCCACTGGTTCCTTAATACAATATTGCTGCTTCTCTGTTTAGTAGCCTAATTTTAATGTAGTTAAAATTATATCAAAATTTAATATAAATAAATTTTACTTTTATTGATTTGTAGATGAATAATAATGTTCATTAAAGAAAAGACCATATATTTCTAACAAGCATTAAGAAAAATGTGGACTTAATACAACTTATGGAAGTTCAAATGCCAAATATGATGGCTAGGTAGTACATAAAAATAAAATATTGGAAAAATATTTTGAAAGCGATTGCACAGTTTTTGCAAATATATGTTTTGATAATTTTTCACACAGGTTAATTTAAAAGTAACAGAGTTAATTTTTACTGTAATCTATAAAAATCAATTCCATTTCTATGTTTTTCTAATTTACTTGTCAAAATCTTACAGTCTGTACTCTGCATTAAATGTTATATTGATAATTTTAAGCAGTTATTCAGAATCTTTTATTACTTTTTTCTCTCCATTTGCCCTACTTACAATGAACATTTATACATTTCTTTCACTTAAATTTCTCAAGAGAGTGTTGAGCCATGATGATAGTATCTGCCTTTCACCTGTACTTATGTAGATTATACTCCCAGCAACATTTGTATAGTAAGTACAATTCCATAATTTTACTGATATACCACATTTAGCTGATGTTATTTCTGTTCCTTGGTGTCGACATTATAAATAGTTCCAGTATATTTTACTCATTTTTAAGTAAAATTTACTAAAGTTATATAAAGTGTTTATAATACATTTCATCTTTTATATTTACGGTTTACCTATTAAAATATTTGAGAAGAGGCTGTATCAATATTCACCCAAAAAAAGAAAAAGAGTCATGCAGAGAATGTCATGTCAACATGATAAGCATCTGGATGAAAACTAAGCAAATTATGCACATAGACAGATGTTTTCTGTATAAAATATGTGGATAGATTTTTCAGGTTTCATCCAGATGTTTGGAATCATGTGGACATAATCATGACCTCTTTGTGACCCTTTCTTTTCCCTATCACATAGAGATTAAATGACTCAGTAAAAAGCATTGGTATTAGATTTTAAAAATGCTCAGGATCTCACTCAGCCTTGACTTTAGTGCTTTTTCACTAGAACAACCTGAACTACTAAGTCTCCAGACACAATTAGTTTGACTGCTTTTAATTAAAAAATTACTGATTTGTTTTAACTATTAGTTGGTTACTTATCCATTCAAATCATGCATTTAGATTTTCGTATATGCATATCCTCAAACATAGTTCTGACTTCTCATTTCTCCATTTTCCTTTGTTGTCTCTGTTTCTTTTTTTGGAATAAAACCTCACTAATTTATATGATAAATCTCAGATTAATTAAACAAGTTATTCATTAAATCAAGATTATAGGGGGAAGGATTTAAGGAATCAAATTGTTTTCAAACACTTGAACTAATGTAGGAGCACTCATTCTCATATAAATAATGTGCTAATTACAAATTATTCTTTTCTGTTAATTAAGACAGGTCAGCAGGATTTCTACTTGGCAACACTTAGCTTAAGTGTTCAAGTTGCTATATGTACTTGAAATTAATGAAATTGAATTACCTTTAAAATGTCAGGCTTTTCATTATTTTCTGTGATTATTTGCACTCATTCCTTTTAATTATTTTAATGCAGAGGGGTTTAATTTTATATGCATATTTATCTATCAATTTTATAAATTATTTCAGTAGTATTTAGAGATCAAATAATAGGTGAAGTTAGGATAATCACTCTCCAAAAAAAAAAAATCAACACAAAAGTTTTTGTGCTGTCTAATTGATTTCAGAACAAAACTAGAAAGCCCTTACCAACCTGTTACAACTTCTTTTGGGGGGGTCTTCATTTCTACCATTTTTAAAACCACGTCATAGATGGCAGGTAGATATTCTATTATGTGATCTATAGGGTTTTTGTGTGTTCAGAAGGAGTCTACAGTTACACCTCTCTTTAATTGATAAAAATGCTGTTATGTAAAAGTCATGTATTTTATGTATAAGGGCGGGGGTAGTTGGGAACATAGTAGTAGACCTGCTGTATATTTCTATGCTGGTTCCAAACTCCAGCAATCTCATTCTACTTACTTTTTTGTAGCGTACTGTTTCTTGAACATGTCTTTATATATACTGTTTGCCATTTTTAGCTCTTTGAAACACCTTAAAATGACCAACCTTTTTATCTTTTCTACTTCCACTCCCACATTAAAAAACAACAAAAAAAAGCTAATACCAGTCAGATCAGTACCTGCAAAAGTATGTAGCACTTGGCAGATGCTCAATAAATACTTGCTTAGTGAATGAACAAATATATTGACAAGAAAACAGTAATGATTATTGTTTATTCATACTAAGGAGACATGAACAATGACACTGAGCAATTTACCAACTAATCAAGATCAGTTACTTATACATTGCTATATGAACTTTGGCAAGATTACGTGAATCTGACCTAAGTTTTCTGCCTTTTTTGTTTGTTTGTCTTATTTCTACTTTGTCTTTATGTTAGCATAATTCTTGCAACTCCAAAATGTCTTCATATTTTTTCATAAAACTGAGGTCTTAATCATGGTACTCTTGTATCAATTATATAAGTATACTTTCATGGAAACTAAGACAGAAATCATATATTAGTACTACCAAAATGTTAATACAGGAAAATTTAATCATGGATTATCAAATTGTATTAATCACTTTCATGTCACCTCTTTGAATAGTTATTTGATATTTATTTTCCCTTGAGATATATATATATACATATATATCTAATCAAAGTATGTTTTCCCATTTTTTATTTTTATAATTGCATGGAGTCAGATTTCTTGAAGATGTTTAAATGTCAGCATCAAAGGTTATACCAAATATTTCACATTTATTGCAACCTAATTTAAATGTATATAATATTGTTTCAAATATTGTACAAATTCAAAGTTCACAAGGCTCCAGAACTGGCCTGATTTCATTGATTAAGTGCTCAGTGGTTGGCACTCACTAGGGCTTCCTCAGTGAGTGATGGAACATTGAATGTAAGAAAAGCTTTGAGGAGATATATAAGCTATAAGCTATATTTATTGTGGGCTAATGTATGTCTGCTTGTTGTAGGAGTAAATGTCTTCGTAGAATATTGAATTATTTTTCATATCAGGCCTTTAAAAGTAAAAAGAGCTGTTAAGGATAAAATATAAAATGTTTCCTAATGCTATATTTAACAATCTTTAATAACCACTCATCTCTAAAAATAAATACTGTTGATGTTTAAAACCCAAAGAAACACTATCAGTTGGTGTCCTGGAAGTAATACATTCTTCTGAAATTAGATTCTTACCCCTACCCCCCCCAAATAAACCAAAAACAAACTTTCGTATCAATAACTAAGAAGCCGTGTATCTAATTAGACAAAATGGAAAATCTATCTATCCTACCTGATTTCTTTCTTGTCAGGAGTCTAAAATTCTCCATTGATTTCCTTAAAGCCATCTTAGCAAGTAGAAGTGAAGCTATTCTAAATAATGTTGCAATGACAACTACTTATTTATTCATAATTGTGATGATGTGTTTTCCAGGATGCAATTTCACTATTGTGTACATAGAGTGATGATACTTATTTTATTTGACCAAAAGTTGAAATTGAACTTGATCTTGGATCTGTAAATATATTCCTTATCTCAAGGATAATGAGATGTTAAAAACTGAGAAATAAACAAATTAGGAAATTAATTTTTTCGCAAAAAAATGAAAAGTCTGGAAGTCATTGCTTGCTGGCATTGACTCAATGACTGAAGGATGTCACAGCTGAAGTTTTGGTAATAATATTGGCTTGTCCTTTATAGTCACAAGATAGTGGGGACTATGTCCCAATACATGCAGAAATAAGGGGAAGGCCACAGGGCTAAAGAATGCCTGCATAAGGAAAGCAAACTCCCCTGTTGACTTTTGCTGATGTGTCATCTATTAAAACTATGTTCCATAGATACCCCTAACTTTGAGGGAGAGAGAAATTAGTTTTTACCAGTACACATTATCTTCTCTAATATAGTCATGTTTGTTAGTAAGGAAGAAGGAGGCAGTATATATTGAGTATTCCCCTGGAAGACTCTGCCACAGAGATAGGCATAAGTTCATTTCACCTGAGAACAAATGATAACATTCAGCATTCATCCAAAAAGACATTAAGTGCTTGCTATATGTCAGAAACTGTCCTAGGTGATAGAAATGCAAAAATGAATAAATAGGACATATTTCTCACCCTGAAAGCATACATACTTTTTAAAAAACATATTTTATTAAATAATTAAAGTATTAATTTAAATGTGATAGATAGTGGATTGGCTATGAAATAACAAGCACAACTTTTTTCTGCTTAGAAAAAAGTCAGGAGACTACAGTGAAAGTGAAACTCAAGCTTAGTCCTGAAAGATGAGTAGGTTTGAGAAATACACAAAAGGAGAGGCAGAGTGGGAAGGAAAAAAGCTTTCCCTGGCAGAGGGATCATCCAGTCCAAAAGTGTAGAGTGATTCATTCATTTAGCAATTGTTTGTTAGCAGCTAGTTGTGAGGTAGAGTGAGCCAATAACTGGGGACACATGAATGAATAAAACTGAAATGATCTTTACCTTCTTAGAGCTTATGATCTAGTCCTACAAAAGCATGTGGTCTTAGTGCTTTGGCCTAGCTGGAGCACAGGATGCCTGTACAGAAGGAGAGCCCTTATAGAACCCAAGAAATCTCCTTAGGGATACCAATTAAGGAGAAGAGGAGCAGGAAACCTAAAGGGTGGAGCTTTAAGACCCCATCCTCACTTTTGACCTATTAAGTTTTAGAAAGGTGAGCCATTAAAGAGATTTTTAGCAGAGAATGATATAATCAAGTTTGAATTTTATAAGGTTAGAATAACAGCAGTAAAAAGGATTGATCTGGGCTAAACTTTAAGAATTAAAATTGGGTATTCACTTAGTAGGTTACTCTGATAAGCCAACAAGAGATAAGACCTGAGGGATTGAGGCAGTAGTTACAGTAATGTAGAGTAATGAATATAGCAAATATTAAGGAAGCAGTATTGACAAGACATGGGGAAGGTTTGGATGGAGGCATGGCCAGGACAAATCAAGCATATCTCTAAAAGTTTTTAGGCTTCTATTATGAGGAACATTATTAAAGAGATCTTAAAGAAGTAAAAGAGCAAGCTTTGTGTATTTGAGAGATTCTAGACAGAGGGAACAGTATGTGCAATGGTGTTAAGATGGAAGTGTGCTTTCTCTATTTGAGGTTTAGCAAGGATACCAGTGTGTCTGGAGCAGAGTGAGCAAAGGGCATGATAGTATGAAAGTCAGAGTCTTCAGGGTAGCAACTGGACAGTTTATGTACAGATTATATTCTAAACAAGACAGGAAGTCCTTGGAGGCCTTAGAAAAGGAAATCAACATGATGTGGTTTAATGGTTTTTTTGTTTGTTTGTTTTTTGTTTTGTTTTGTTTTTTGAGACAGTTTCGCTCTTGTTGCCCAGGCTGGAGTGCAATAAGTTTTAAAAGGTTTATTTGGGTGGCTGCTCTGTGCAAAATATTTTGAAGGAAATGGAAAGAGGAAAATGGAAAAAAAGAGAAAGGTATTATGAAAGTCCAGAGAAGAAACGATAGGAGCTTGAACTAGGCTGGATGCAGTAGAAGTGGTATAAAGTTTTATAAATTCTGGGTACATTTTGAAGGTTTTGTTAATTTTTGATAGGTTGATGTGAGTATGTCGGAGATAAAGAGGAATCAAGGATGATCGCAACATTTGTGGTTAGTCCAAATTAGTGAATTGAAAAAGAGCAGAAGGGTACTTGTTTGTTTTGTTTTGTTTTCTTTGGTGGGGGGGGGGCTTGTTAATAAGGAGTTCAGTTGATAAATTATTAAATTTCATAATTTTATTTGAGAAACAAATGGCATGATCAAGGCAAATGGACAAATTCAGGGAGTTCATGGGAGACATGGGAACTGTAGATAAAAATCTATGAGTTGTCAGCATATAGATGCTATTCAAGATCATGAGTCTGAGTAAGACCACCTGGTGAATTAATGAAGAGTTGAGAGGGAAAGGGAAAAGAAGAAAAGGGGAAAAGAGAGAAAAAAAAAGGTGCTCACAAACACTTTGAGATCGGGAGAGGTAGAAAACATGGTCAGAAAGCTGAGAAATAGCAGCCAGTGTACACAGTGATAAGAAAAAGGAAATGTAGATGAGAACTGGGAAAAGACTGACATTAAATGATGAGCAAAGAGAAGCTCACAATGCATTTTTGTCCAAACTACTTTCATGGCTTATTAGAAGTGAGATTCATGTTGCTATATCCTATTTTGAACTTTCACATTTAAAGTAAGTGTACAGAAGAGACCTCCTGAATGAGGTGAATCAAAATTTTCATCTCAGTGTAATTGAGCTGTCCTGATTGCTGGTACAGACAGAAGATTTTCATTTTCCATGACTGATATGCTATTCTCTCTTCATAGTTAAATTTTTGAAGGCCAGTATTTATTCCATTCAATTATCTCTTTATGGCCATGGCATTTATTTGGTGTTTAAGGCATGGTAGAACAAAGCAGAGGAAATGGGTTGGAAAAGGATGGCAAATAAAAATAGGATAAGAAGAAGAATACAAGAGTGGAGATGTAATTCATACTTAACTGTTGCTTCTGTGAAAGGGCCCATTTTGCTTATTTGTAACTTACAAGGTTGATTTTATAATTTCAAACTTTTCCTTAAGATTTACCATAGACAAATGTGGTAATCTTTTGAACCAAATGGATATAAAGATAGAATAAAGGGCACTTTAAAAAGTATGTCTTTTACCACAATGAGATACCATTTCATGCCAGTTAGAATGGCGATCATTAAAAAGTCAGGAAACAACAGATGCTGGAGAGGATGTGGAGAAATAGGAATGCTTTTACACTGTTGGTGGGAGTATAAATTACTTCAACCATTGTGGAAGACAGTGTGGCGATTCCCCAAAGATCTAGAAACAGAAATACCATCTGACCCAGCAATCCCATTACTGGGTATATACCCAAAGGATTATAAACATTCTACTATAAAGACACATGCACACGTATGTTTATTGTAGCACTGTTCACAATAGCAAAGACTTGGAACCAACCCAAATGCCCATCAATGATAGACTGAATAAACAAAATGTGGCATATACACACCATGGAATACTATGCAGCCATGAAAAAGGATGCATTCATGTTCTTTGCAGGGACATGGATGAAGCTGGAAACCATCATTCTCAGCAAACTAACACAAGAACAGAAAATCAAGCACTGCATGTTCTCACTCATAAGTGGGAGTTGAACAGTGAGAACACATGGACACAGGGAGGGGAACATCACCCACCAGGGCCTGTCAGGGGGTGGGGGGCTAGGGGAGGGATAGCATTAGGAGAAATACCTAATGTAGATGACTGGTTGATGGGTGTAGCAAACCACCATGGCACATGTATACCTATGGAACAAGCCTGCACGTTCTGTACATGTATCCCAGAACTTAAAGTATAATAATTAAAAAA
This sequence comes from Homo sapiens, assembly GCF_000001405.40. Classification (NCBI taxonomy): domain Eukaryota; kingdom Metazoa; phylum Chordata; class Mammalia; order Primates; family Hominidae; genus Homo; species Homo sapiens. Next base: position 114,511,365 of record NC_000007.14, read on the forward strand.
CAAAAAGTATCTACTGACATTTCTCGATATCTCTTGATACAAACTGGTTGTGTGCTGCTGCAATGAAAAAAGAAAGGAATCAAAAAAAGACTCTTGCAAAGGAAAGCTTTTGCATCAGTGAGTGTGAGCATTGGGGGAAGGAATAATTTCACTGGAGAGCCAAAGACTAGCCAGATTTTTAGAGGAGAATTAATCAGACAACTTGCCTTAGGACATGTTTTGGAGTAGAGGATAAGTTAAATTTTAGGGAGGAGGTAATGGCTAGACAGTTATACTACAAAATACAAATTTGTTCTTATTAATGGTACTTTAAATTTATAATTCATTAATAACTTTAATGAAGGATATTCATTATCCTTGATATTGTGAAGGATATTGTGGTATTTCCAACCAACTTTTGCTTTCATTATTTTTCTCTTGAAAGCTAACATATTCTTTTCTATAAATTTGAGGTTATGTTTAATTGCTAAAATTGTATTCTGCATAATCATTTACTTTGTCCATGTTTTAATGTTTTATAATTATTATTGTAATTAATTTTCAGTAATATGGCTTAAAATACTAGTTTCTATCCAAAAAATCTTTTAAAACACCAAGTAAATGAATAGAATAAATTGCAATTTAAATAATCATACTATATGTCATTATTATTCATTTATCAGCTGGAAATGATTATATTATTATAACTTAAGAGTTTGATTTTGTTTTTGTATAATTTGGATATTCTTTTTTGTTAATATAGTTAGTTATTGGCTTTATATTTGTGAAAAGTCATGTTCTAGCGCCTTGCAACAGCCTTTTCCAATTTATGTTATTGCAAGACCTTCTCAAAGTGAACAGAAAGGCAGAGCTTTTGATAAGAGAGAAGCATGTTTATAAATATTTTCATTAAGATTCACTAACAGGCAGTCCCTCATTTCTTAATAGGCATTATTACATACAATCATTTCTATGCCCATTGATAAGAAATTTGTGTTATCATAGAAACAGTGTTGTGTATGATCCCATACGAATTCTCAAAAGCTTATTTATAACCATAACATGACTTAAGTAATACTAACAGAGTAATGTCTGGATCCTTTGTGTCTGAGTCTAGATCTCAGAGGCCTAGAACAGAGTGGGATGGAAGTGGCTCCATGTAACAGTTCTCATGGAAGCACATGGAGCAGTTTCTCACAGCATGAATGAGAGGAGCAGGCCAAAGGTTTGCTCAGTGATTTCTGATAGGGTTCTGTAGGGAGGACAGAGTGAATAAGGAATATTGTCTTTAAGAAGGGATGTCATCTTTTGGGAACTGAATGGAGAATAGGATAATCTCAATTTTTTAAGCCATAATTTTGTTTTTATGCATACACTTTAAAAATTAGTAGTATAGTGAGGAAAATGAAAGAAAATATTGGGATTCTTGGGGTCAAATTAATTCTATTTTAAAAACTAGGCTGGGTGTGGTGACTCACACCTGTAATCCCAGCACTTTGGGAGGCAGAGGCAGGTTGATCATGAGGTCAAGAGATCGATACCATCCTGGCAAACATGGTGAAACCCCGTTTCTACCAAAAATACAAAAATTAGCTGGGAGTGGTGGCACGCACCTGTAGTCCCAGCTAGTCTGGAGGCTGAGGCAGGAGAATCACTTGAACCCGGGAGGCGGAGGCTGCAGTGAGCTGAGATCGCTCACCACTGTACTCCAGCCTGGTGACAGACCAAGACTCCATCTCAAAACAAAACAAACAACAACAACAAAACACTATTACCTTGGTTAAATTACTCAACCTCTCTAGGACTACTTTCATAATACAGTTTGAGGAGATTTAATGAAATATTCTCCAGAGTGCTTTTTTAGCTGTAAAATGTTATATTCTGTAATTGTAGTTTCAGTAATTAATACAATATAGTGGAAACAGAACCAACAAATGGTCAGGGGACATCTTTCTTTCCATGCTTTGTGTAATGCATTGGGATATCATTATGATTAATAACTAGTAATACAGATGACTATAATTAGTAAGGGTATCAAAATTTACCTAGTAAAGAAGTAGTTACCAGTTTTGACTTATAATTAGAATCATTTGGAAAGCTTTTTAAAAAAATAGATATTCTTAGACCCCACCTCAAGCCTAATTAAATCAGAATCTTAAGGAGTTGAGCCTAAGATTCTGTCTTTATAACATAGCCTTCTGTGGGATTCTGATGATGCTCTGGGTAAAGAACCATTGTAGTAGATGTCCTCAGTGAACTGAAATGAAAATTTAGCACAATTTGATATTTTCATAAAAAGTTTTATGTAGAAGAGCCCTAGCAATTGGTTTGTTTTCAGTATTTTTCATGTTCTTTCTGAAGTCCTATTTAAACATAAATCTGCAGAGTAAACTATTTGTTCTTAAAGGTAAATTTCAGCTAAAAAGTCCTAATTTTTAGAATCTTGCATAATATAATTTTCTAATTTAAGTGTTCTCTATATTTAGTGTTAAATTATGCTTTTTTATATATCACAAACAAAAGGCATACAGGAAATGGCAAACTGTTGCCTATTTTAAAGCAAAATAGGGTCCAAACTGCTAAGACGTATTTCAAATGTGTGAAAATATTTATGACATTGTGGCCATACCCCAGTACAAATTTTATCACTAACATTTTTTAAATTGATAAGTTAACATTGTACATATGTGTATATCTATATATCACTAACATTTTTAAAATTGATCTTAACATTGTATCTTATACACACACACACACACACACACACACACACACGCCATAAATATATACAATACTATGCTGTATGTATACAAAGTTATATTGTATATATACATGCTGTTTTCATATAGGTATGCATTGCAGAATGACTAAATTGAATTAATATGTATTTTACCTCACATACTTATCATTTTGTTATGATGAGAATATGTTAAAAATCTACTTCCTTAGCTATTGTCTATTATACTATACTTTGTCATTAACTATCATCACTATGATGTACAACAGATATCTTAAATTTATTCCTCCTGTCTAACTGAAATTTTATGTCCTTTGACCAACATCTCCCCAATCCCTTATCCCCCTAGCCTCTGGTAACCACCATATTACTCTATTTATATTAGTTCAACGTTTTTGGTTTCACATACAAGTAACATCATGGAATATTTGTCTTTCTATTCCTGGTTTATTTTACTTAACATAATGTCCTCTAGCTTCATCCATGTTGTCACAAATGACACAATTTTCTTTTTTTTTAGAGCTGAATAGTTTGATTCCATATCTTAGCTATTGTAAATAATGCTGCAATAGGAGCTCACATATTTCTTTTTTACATTCAATTTATTTATTTATTTATTTATTTTTTATATTTTCTTTTTCTATTTTATTATTATTGAACTTTAAGTTTTAGGGTACATGTGCACAATGTGTTATTTACATATGTATACATGTGCCATGCTGGTGTGCTGCACCCATTAACTCATCATTTAGCATTAGGTATATCTCCTAAAGCTATCCCTCCCCCTTCCCCCCACCCCACAACAGTCCTCAGAGTGTGATGTTCCCCTTCCTGTGTCCATGTGTTCTCATTGTTCAATTCCCACCTATGAGTGAGAATATGCGGTGTTTGGTTTTTTGTTCTTGCAATAGTTTACTGAGAACGATGATTTCCAATTTCATCCATGTCCCTACAAAGGACATGAACTCATCATTTTTTATGGCTGCATAGTATTCCATGGTGTATATGTGCCACATTTTCTTAATCCAGTCTATCATTGTTGGACATTTGGGTTGGTTCCAAGTCTTTGCTATTGTGAATAATGCCGCAATAAACATACGTGTGCATGTGTCTTTATAGCAGCATGATTTATAGTCCTTTGGGTATATACCCAGTAATGGGATGGCTGGGTCAAATGGTATTTCTAGTTCTAGATCCCTGAGGAATCGCCACACTGACTTCCACAAGGGTTGAACTAGTTTACAGTCCCACCAACAGTGTAACAGTGTTCCTATTTCTCCACATCCTCTCCAGCACCTGTTGTTTCCTGACTTTTTAATGATTGCCATTCTAACTGGTGTGAGATGGTATCTTATTGTGGTTTTGATTTGCATTTCTCTGATGGCCAGTGATGATGAGCATTTTTTCATGTGTTTTTTGGCTGCATAGATGTCTTCTTTGGAGAAGTGTCTGTTCATGTCCTTTGCCCACTTTTTGATGGGGTTGTTTGTTTTTTTCTTGTAAATTTGTTTGAGTTCATTGTAGATTCTGGATATTAGCCCTTTGTCAGATGAGTAGGTTGCGAAAATTTTCTCCCATTTTGTGGGTTGCCTGTTCACTCTGATGGTAGTTTCTTTTGCTGTGCAGAAGCTCTTTAGTTTAATTAGATCCCATTTGTCAATTTTGGCTTTTGTTGCCATTGCTTTTGGTGTTTTAGACATGAAGTCCTTGCTCATGCCTATGTCCTGAATTGCTTCAAAGAGAATAAAATACCGAGGAATCCAACTTACAAGGGATGTGAAGGACCTCTTCAAGGAGAACTACAAACCACTGCTCAATGAAATAAAAGAGGTTACAAACAAATGGAAGAACATTCCATGCTCATGGGTAGGAAGAATCAATATCATGAAAATGGCTATACTGCCCAAGGTAATTTATAGATTCAATGCCATCCCCATCAAGCTACCAATGACTTTCTTCACAGAATTGGAAAAAACTACTTTAAAGTTCATATGAAACCAAAAAAGAGCCCGCATCGCCAAGTCAACCCTAAGCCAAAAGAACAAAGCTGAAGGCATCATGCTACCTGACTTCAAACTATACTACAAGTCTACAGTAACCAAAACAGCATGGTGCTGTTATCAAAACAGAGATATAGATCAATGGAACAGAACAGAGCCCTCAGAAATAATGCCGCATATCTACAACCATCTGATCTTTGACAAACCTGACAAAAACAAGCAATGGGGAAAGGATTTCCTATTTAATAAATGGTGCTGGGAAAACTGGCTAGCCATATGTAGAAAGCTGAAACTGGATCCCTTCCTTACACCTTATACAAAAATTAATTCAAGATGGATTAAAGACTGAAACGTTACACCTAAAACCATAAAAACCCTAGAAGAAAACCTAGGAGCTCATATATTTCTTTGACATACTAATTTCATTCCATTTGAATATACACCTAATAGTGGGATTGCTGCATCATATGATAGTTCTATTTTTAATTTTTTGAGAAACTTCCATACTGTTTTCCATAATAGCTGTGCCAATTTATATTCCCACCAAGAGCGTACAAAGGTTTCACATCCTAACCAATACTTGGTAATTTTTTTGTTCTTTGTTTTTTGTTTTTTGTTTTTTGTTTTTTTTTTGAGACAGAGTCTCACACTGTTGCCAAGGCTGGAATGCAGTGGCGCAATCTCTGCTCACTGCAACCTCTGCCTCCCAGGTTCAAGCAATTCTCTTGCCTCTGCCTCCTGAGTAGTTGGGACTACAGGCACATGCCACCATGGCCAGCTAATTTTTGTATTTTTAGTAGAGATGGGGTTTCACCATGTTGCCCAGAATGGTCTCGATCTCCTGACCTCATGATCCACCTGCCTCAGCCTCCAAAAGTGCTGGGATTACAGGTGTGAGCCACTGTGCCTGACCTTTGTCTTTTAATAGTAACCATTCTTTTTTTTTTTAAATAATATCCATTCTAACAGATGTGAGATGATACCTCATTGTGGTTTTATTTTGTATTCATCTGATGATGAGTGATGTTGAGCATTTTTTATATACCTGTTGGTCATGTGTATATCTTCCTTTGTAAAATGTCTATTCAGTTTCTTTCCCATTTTTTAATCAAACTACTTGTTTTCTTATTATTGAGTTGTTTGAAGTTCTCATATATGTTGAATATTTAACTTACTAGATGTGTGATTTGCAAATATATTCTCCCATTCCATAGGTCGTCTCTTTATTGCTTGTTTCCTTTACTGGGCAGAAGCTTTTTAGTTTGATGCAATCCCGTCGGTCTATTTCTACTTATATTGCCTGTGTTTTGGGGCTCATATCCAAATAATTCTTGCCTACATCAATGTCTTGGAACTTTCCCCTTGTATTTTCTTCTAGTGCAGTTTTTTATCTACATTTACAGTTGTTTATGGTGTGAGATGAGGGTTCAATTTCGTTCTGCATATCCAGAAGATATCTAGTGGATATATGCAGTTTCCCTGTACCATTTATGAAGACATTGCCTTTTCCCTTTTATGTGTTCTTAACATCTTTGTAGGAAGTCAACTGACTGTAAGTGCATGGATTTACTTCTAGGCCCTCTTTTCTGTTTCACTGATCTTTGTGTCTGTTTTTATGCCAGTATCATGCTGTTTTCATTGCTATAGCTTCATAGTAGATTTTGAAAAGCAGACAGTTGTGATGCCTCCAGCTTTGTCTTTTTTGCTCAAGATTGTTTTGGCTATTGGGGTCTTTTGTGATTTCATACAAATTTTAAGATTTTTTTTTCGATTTCCGTGAAAAATATCATTTGAATTTTGATAGCAATTGTATTGAATCTGTGGATCACTTGGAGCAGTATAGACATTTTAACAATATTAATCCTCCAATCCATGAACATGGGATATCTGTCAATTTGTTGGTGTCTTCTTCAATTTCTTTCATCAATATTTTATCATTTTCTATGTACAGATCTTCCACCTCCTTGGTTATATTTATTGCTAAGTATTTTTTGGTGACTATTATAAACAAATATCATTTTAAATTGATTTTGTAAACATCCCAGGTAACCCATGGAAAGGACTTCTATTATAAGTCTGTACATGTTTTGTCCACCCCTTTTTATACCAATGTATATATAAAATACAAAACAAATTAAAGTAATATATTTCAAAATATACTTTTAAGCAAAGGATCAAAACACCGCACAGTATTTGTAAGTAAAATGTGTTTTAATAATATTCAATGAAATTTATGAAATTTAAGTGTTCTTATTTTCCTTGTATAGGAAAATACTTTTATGTTTTTTCCCCAAGTGGAAATTGATTGACTAACTTACCAGAAACAATGCTTGACAGTGAATTATTATACAGATACCACAGTGTAATAAAGGTAATATTCTAAGAATTGCCTGTAACAGTAACAGCCCTTTGACCCAAAGATTCTATAGAATTTTTTTTTTTTTGAGATGGAGTCTCTGTTGCCCAGGCTGGAGTGCAGTGGCATGATCTCAGCTCACTTTAACCTCTACCTCCCAGGTTCAAGCGATTCTCCTGCCTCAGTCTCCTGAGTAGCTGGGACTACAGGCATGGGCCACCATGCCCAGTTAAATTTTTTTGTATTTTTAGTAGAGACAGGCTTTCACCATGTTGGCCAAGCTGGTCTTGAACTCCTGATCTCAAGTGATCTTCCCGCCTCGGCCTCCCAAAGTGCTGGGATTATGGGCATGAGCCACCATGCTTGGCCCTAGAATTTTAAGAATGTAAAATTTTGCTTGAGTTAATCACTTTGTTAGTTATTTGCTATCATTCTTCAAGTAAGTAGACATAGAAATGACAGGAATTGAAAATATCATACTGTTATTTGTCAGTTTGCATCACCGTCATTATTCTTACTTTGTACTATGTGTCTATTCTACTCCACCATTCTCCTCTAGTGCCTGTTATCTAACTCATCTTCACAGCAACTATTTATTTCACAGAATGTTACTGCCCTGTAGATAGATGTGCTCAAGGTGTTCTTTATCTTATCCCCTACATACATTTCTTGTCTCATGTTTCCAAGACACATTAAACATGGCATAGCTAAGATCTTTAAAATAATTTTTAATTAAAGAAGAGTAGGGAGGTAGCAATACCATAGAAGCTCAAATCATGAGTGTCTAATTTGGTGTTGGCAGGGTAAGATTTTGACAAGATCCCTTTTGTAAAAATAGCTATTTCCATGGCTGTGGAATCACAGGAAGGTCCTGAGTGTGTATTTTGGATTTGTCCTCAAATTTCAGAATGCCTCATTTCTGTATACCAGTGTCCCAGCTGTTGCAGACTTTGTAATGCATTAGTATTGGACTCCGAAATTGAGTTTCTGCCAGAGGATTCTGGCAGTAAGCATCCTCCTATAACAACAGACAAGTGATAGCAGTAGAAATCCCAGGGGACTTCACAATAGCATGTCTTAGGATTCAGTGTAATGGCTTAACTTCAACATAAAGATGATCAGAGTAAGTACAGCTTATTGTTCCACTCTGGTGAGTAGTCTGTTAGGTGCCAGTTATGTAAATGAAGATAATTACAAGAGAGTGCCAAAATGTGTCCTCCATGAGAAACTATGCAGTTCTTAAATAGGTCATTCTGCAATCATAAGAAGCCTTTGAGGGGGGCAGCAAAATCTCCCTTCTATGGAATAGGTTTAATGTCTTCCGAGACAATGGGAGAAAAGGGTCATTTCAAGCAGTGGCCATTTGGGATTTCTCCAAGATTACGAAGTATTTCTTTTTCCCAGTGTCACTCTCAGAAATAAGGTTTTAATTTCCAATTTTATCCGTCTTTTTATAAGCATTCTTTCACATGTTTCCTTTCTGATAACAAACCAAAATGATTAATTTAAAGAAGAGAAATTTTAAACTGAAATCCAGTTTTAAAAAATATGTATGATAAAACAGCTTACATTAAATAGATATTCCTTTGGGCAGTAGCTTTATGTATTAAAAAAGTGAAGTCACTTTTTAGAAGAAACTTTAGCATACTCTTTATCACAGGATAAGTTACCTAGGTCCTTATCAATCCTATGGGTAATTTGATTTTTAGTAGTTTTGTCTCTTACCTTACATAAAAATTGCTTCTGTAAAACAATGACATTATTTTTCATGCTTCAAAATATAGTCATCCTTTTAAATCACTATCCACATGGAATCCCTCCCATCCCCTTGGAATTTTCATATTTTTTAATGAAGTGTTCTTCCTCACAGTATTTTGATCTACCATATTTTGAATAACTAGTTTTAAAGATAGAGCATGACCAATGTAGTTTAGTGATGTATGTCATATAGTATGTAACATAATGAAAAAACAAAAAGACTTAAAAGCAACACTATCAGGTAATTTTTTGCAAACTCAGACAGAGTAGGGAACATTGCCTCTTTGTCTACATTTTTATCTCTAGTATCTAACAAAAAGTTACATTAATAAATATTAATTTGATAGACTTAATAAAGGAGTTAGAAAATAAATATTAGTTAAATGAATGAGTGAAATATCTGGTACAATGGCCCATTCAATTCACTAATTCTAAGTGAAAATACAAACATAGGTAGGTAGGTAGATAGATAGATAGACAGATATTAGATATGTTTTTTAAAACATCAATTTCTAACAAAGGAGGCAAAGCAAGGTAAAATATTTTTGCCTGTTAGTTTAGAAAATACTAAAAAAAGAATGATAATGTATACTATGGAGTATGGTGGAATGGGCATTCCATGCAGTGAGTTGGGATTGCAAATGACTATAATCATTCTGAAAAGGCATTATGATAATGTGTATCAAAATCTAATATCTGACTATGATTTGACCCAACAATTAAACTTTTGGGAGATAATTACAAGGCTGTCTTATAAGGAAGTTCATTGCAATATTATTTAAAATTACAAAAATGGGAAAAGTCTAAATATCTATCAGAAGAGGATTGTATTAAAGAAAATTGAGCTTTCTAAAGACTGGAAATAATGGTGTGCTTTGGTGAATTTGAAATTTGTTTCTATTTTTATTGCAAAAGAACTGTATGGTGTTTGCCTAAATAAGTGATTATTTTACATAGAGTACTAAAGATAGATGTACATGGATATTAGTAAATATTTAAAAGATTTTAATAGAATTCTAATTTCATGGATAATTGAGTCTGAAAAAGCATGAACACTACTTGGATTTTTATGTAAATAAATTCGTAAACTGAATAACAAAATATCCATTATGTGTATATCCTTTTTCTAGACCCATGCTTAAAAGGGAGATTAGAGTGAGACCCCAACTCTACCAAAAACAAACAAACAAAACAACTGGGTATGGTAGCATGCCTCTAGTCCTAGCTATTCAAGAGCCTGAAGCAGGAAGCTTGCATGAGCCCAGGAGTTCTAGGTTACAGTGGACTCTGAGTCTACCACTGTACTCCAGCCTGGGCAAAACAGCAGGACACTGTCTCAAAAAAAAAAAAAAAAAAAAAGGGTAGGGGTGCCGTTTAGAGAATGATTTCTTTTTATACTTAAACAATCTGCCTAAAATAATTGAAGGATTCTAACTGGAGACAGTGAGATAACACTTTTGTGACAACCAATAGTAATTTTTTGGATCTTCACTTAAAAAAATAATGAAAGAGGTAAAGAATATATTGTGGTAAAGTCATGGGTAAAAATATTTTAATTTAACTTGATGAAAAGAAATATTATGCTAATTTCAGTGTTATTTTAGATCACTAGTTGGTCCTCTACAGTCATTAGTGTAAAGGTCTGTAAAGGAGCTACTGTGTGCAAGGCAGTGTCATGGTTCCTGGAGGGAATGCTACTTTCTTTACTTAGTGTACCATTTGCATCTCAGATATCTGGAACCAGCTAAAATATGCATGCATTTTACAAGTTTAAAAATATCTAAAGAAACATACTTTTCAATTAAATGTCTTTTAAATGACTAGGTGCCAGCTACTATGCTGTGCATTCTTGGGGTTATAAAAGATGATTTAGAAACATTTCCAGCCCTTAGAAAGTTTACAATAGTAGATGTTAAGGGAAATTGAATGTATTCTCCTAAGAAGTAAGTTTTCTTAGGTTAGGTGAGGTAGGTTCTTCAATAGAAATGCTTCTTGTGCTTCTTGTGCTAATGCAAAATGAAGGGGTTTGCTTCCTGGTTTGGGATTTTATATGTGTCTTCAACAAGTGGGCCACTGACAAAAGCTTGTTAAAAAAACAGTGGATGAGGGAGAAACTTGTTTTTTCTACCAGCCTGAGTTTCACTGTGGTAATGGAAGTAAGTGAAAACAAAACAGCAGTGGGATATTCACCTTTAAGAACTTCGTTCCCTAGCAAGTCATTTCCTACAAGCAAGAATCCTTCCTTGGTCTTCCAGCTACTGGCTCTTAAACTGCTGATAGCTACCAACAGGCAACCATTTTCTAAGTGGATATTTGTACATTTTTATTTATATACATATTTTCTACAATCATATTGTAGATAATTCAATATAAGAAATAATTTTGAAATCAGAAATATGTTTTAACTTCTTTGAGGTTACAGGACACTTGACAAGATTTTTAGGGCTTAAGTCCAAAGGACACCGTAAAATTTACATGGATGTAGTTACAGAATTATTAAGGAATGATTATTTTCACCATTAGTTTGTATCTTATTTTATTGAAAAGAACACTCGTATCACATTATAATGTTCATAACTCTAATTTACCACATAATATGCTAAAGATAATCTAACCTAAATTTCTTAATGGCTAGAATAGAAAACAGATTTCTCCCTCAGGTGAGTTTGCCCAAGATCTGTAAAATGTATCTTTGTGAATTGGCTTCAAAATGTTACACAGGCATATATATGCTTCATACTTTACCTTACAAACATAAATTTCAAAAATTTTATATTTATATAAATAAAAATAAATTATATGATCTAAATATAAATGCATTTCTTCTTTCATTTATTTCATTCTTTTAATAGTATTTTCAAATTATTATAATATTTCATCAGTAATTGGTTCTTTGTGGCTAACATTTCTTATCTTCAATGAGCTTTGTGTTTCACAATTTACATTACCCTGTAAAATTTGTAAATTGTAAACTGGGAAGAAGGAATTTATTCAGAGATCATCAATGATAGGGATGAGATCATACAGAAACTCAGAATGGTGCTGGGATTAGAACTTGAATTTTCTGATGCCTCCTTGGCATCTCTGTCATTTTGTTTCTAAGAATATTCTAATATTAGCTTTAGGGTCTCTCTTTTAGATGTTCTGAGCTCACTGTTTATGCACCTGCACTAACCAAGGCCTCTCTCTTCTCAAATGGTTTTTCCCTCACCATCCCTTTCCTCCCCTGGTTCCAGCCTCGGTGACATATGCAGAGGCTATCTGCCTCAAGCCTCTTTCCTGTAGATCTGCGGTAGCATTTCCTTGCCTTGGTACCATGCAGGGTCATAATCTTTGTCTTGGGGTTTCTGGCTACTGATCCTCATCATTTCTGAAAGGAAGGTGAATAGAGAACCGAAGTTTTGTTTTTTTCTCTTCTGTGCCTCCAATTGCAGAAAGCTAGAATGTGAACTCTGAAACTTTTCCTCTGCTTTTCTTCCTCTGCTTTTCTTCGACTGTCTTTTTGCAAAAACATGTTCACTCACTCTTCCTTTGGAGTGGTCCATCTCATCCTTTTGCTATCCATTAATAACCTCGTGAGCGTTCCTTCTCACAGAAACGCAGCCTAAGCCCTCAAGTCACTCTCCTAGCTAACCTGTCAAATATAGATAAGATGGCTTTATTACTCTTATGAGGACTAAAAAACATTTCCACTGATGAAATGAATAGTATATTTATGTTTAAGTGGGCAACTTGGTGTAAACAATCTTGTTACCTTGGTTACATATTCTGAAATGCTTACTTTTTCTAACTAGAGTTGTCAGGTTTAGCAAGTAAAAATAGAAGTAAATTCAAATTTAACTGGGAATCTTCTATTTTATCTGGCAACTCTACTTTTAACTTCATCAGAAAATAGTACATATTGTTTAATGCTTTATTTATAGATGATAACGTTTTGTATTTGGTATGGCAGAAGAAGATTATTATTAAAAATTTTTCATCTTTAATATTGGCCTTTTTTTCTGTAGTGAACATCCTAAATCTAGTGCTTAATAATTTCAGAGACACTTTTTTAAGGGGAGTAAAATTCCTTTACAATATAAGCTTGTATGTCTTATTTATCTTCATAAAAAATAAAGAAAAAGAAAAAGAATTTGCTTGGAATTATTTATGTTGTTCTAGTTGGCATAACTAGCAATGCTGTTAATAACTCAGAATTTGTTTTGTTCTCTTTATACCCTGAACAGCTCTTTATTTGAGTCTTTTACTGCATAAAAGTCCCTTCAGTTATATAATTTTCCTGACTACCCCTTGTAGAAAGAGAATGAGCTTCAGAGTCAGCCAGATAGTTGTTCAGATCTCTTATGCCACTCCAAGGCTCTGGTGAAAAAGCTTGGACATATAACCTAACTATGCTGAGTCTCAGTTTATACATCTGTGATAAAAAGAGGGTGTTTTGAGGATTAAATTTAGAATTATAACTGGCATATCATGAGCACTTAATCATTAATTTTTCTTTTCTTTTTACTTTACTTTGTTTTTACTGAACCCTTATAGTCACTTTTTGTAATACCTTTTAATGGCTTACAGTACATTTCTACATTGCGACGTAATTAAATTGAATATATTTTATCTTTCCTACCATACTAAAAGATTCTTTTGTGCAAGTGACCCTATACATTGGGTGTATTGTATATGTGCATATTCATTCAGATGTGGTGATATAGGATGGGAGAGTAGGGGTTGTATCTCACAATACATTCATGAAATTATATATCCCTTCCCTTAAAGTCCTAGAGGAGATTAAAATACAACTTTTCAAAATATCATAGAACATGACTCTATTAAGATACTCTTTCTATCCAATGGGACATTATCTAACTTGGACAGATTGCAGAACTAAATGCATATTGAGGTAAACTTTCAGGATTTACACTATGCTAGACCCATTAGTTAAAATGTACATACCTTTTTAGCAAACCCACTAAAGCTAGTAATCAGGAGTTAGTTTCAAATGACTAGTATTATATATTTCCAAGCATCATATACCTAGAAGAACTGATACTCACTGGAGGAACCCGAATTCCAAAAGTCTTCGCCTGGAATAATACTACTTTATACTTTAGCTTTTAAAATACTTTTAAGTACATTATCCTCTCTGGCTTCACAAATCACTTACATGTGAAGTTAAGTATTACTAGCTGTATTAAATTAGAGCAGTAGAAAAGTAAGTAGTTCTTCATTTAGTCCTGGAGGCAATATTCCAGAAGAAAATACCGATATATTTATATGTCATCAGTGTATGTGGAAGCACATTTTATATTCTAACAGCAGTTTAAATACCACTTTTTACCTATCAGCTATATTTCTCAGAACAGTGATAGAAAAGCTTCCCACTTTTGTTTCTCCTGAAATTCCAATCTCTCTCTCATTCTCAAAAGATAACCACACCTCTTTATTTTCTGAATTAGTTGAGACCATCCACTGTGAGCTCTTTCCATTTCCTACCTCTGCATGTCAAAGTCACCTGTCCTCCCATCTCTTCAGCCTGTCTCCTCCCCATAAGTCTATCACCTACCTGCTGCTGCTCCTTAATTTAGTACTTTCCCATATTCTAGGGACTTGCTCAATTTTCTTATTAAAACTTACGATTTTTGGCCAGGCGTGGTGGCCCATGCCTGTAATCCCAGCACTTTGGGAGGCTGAGATGGGCAGATCACTTGAGGTCAGGAGTTTCAGACCAGCCTGAGCAATGTGTTGAAATCCCATCTCTACTAAAAATACAAAAATTATCTGGGCGTGGTAGCAGGCACCTCTAATCACAGCTACTTGGGAGGCTGAGGCAGGAGAATCGCTTGAACCTGGGAGGCAGAGGTTGCAGTGAGCCAAGATCACACCATTGCACTCCAGCCTGGACAACAAGAGTGAAATTTCGTCTCAAAAACAAACAAAAAGTTTTTAAAAAATATTTATTAAGCTCATTATTATGTTTCTTTATTAAAAAAAAAAAAAAAAAAAAAAAGGGCCGGACGCAGTGGCTCACGCCTCTAATCCCAGAACTTTGGGAGGCCAAGACGGATGGATCACGAGGTCAGGAATTCGAGATCAGCCTGGCCAACGTGGCGAAACTATGTCTCTACTAAAAATACAAAAATTAGCTGGGCGTGGAGGCACGCGCCTGTAATCCCAGATACTCGGGAGGCCGAGGCAGGAGAATCACTTGAACCCAGGAGGCAGAGGTTGCAGTGGGCTGAGATGCGCCATTGCACTCCAGTCTGGGCGACAGGGTGAGACTCTGTCTCAAAAAAAAAAAACAAAAAAAAAAACACAACAAACAAAACCCCTCAAACTGTAACTCTCTTTTATTTTAGTCTTCACAGAAGTAATCAAAACAATTGTTTGCACTCATGGCTATGGTTTTCCCCATTAATTCCCTAGTAACTCTCTGCAAACTACTTCTACTTCAGTACCCTATAGGAACTGATATCTGATAGGTCACATACAAATCAGATCAACATGAACTTTTCAACAAATCTTGACCTTTTTGAGTTTTTGATGTTTGAAGATAGTATCATTCATCCTGTCCTCTCACAATTTTTTAATATATAACAACTTTATTGAGATATAATTTATGTATCACAAAACCTACCCTTTTAATGTATACAATTCAGGGAGTTTTTAGCATATTCACTAGGTTGTTCAACTATCACCACTGTTTAATTCCAGAACATTCTCATCACCCTAAAAAGAAACCCCATTCTCATTAGCAGTCACTTTCCATTCTATCTTACGTCTGGGCCCTTGTAACCACTAATCTATTTTTTTTTTTTTTTTTGTCTCTTTAGGTATATCTATTCCAGGCATATTATACAAATGGAATGATACAGTATATGATTTTTGTTACTGACTTTTTTTATTTAGCATAATGTTTTCAAGGTTTATCCATGTTGTAGCAGGTATCAATATTCCATTCACTTTTATGGACAAATATTCTATTAAATAAATATACCGTATTTTATCTATTCATGAGTTGAAGGGAATTTGGGTTGTTTACATCTTTTGCTATTATGCATGATGTTGATATGAACAATTATGTTCAACTTTTTGTGGGAATGTAAGTTTTTTTTTCTCTTGGGTATATATTGTACCTTGGGTGGAATTAATGGATCATGTGGTAATTCTTTGTTTAACCTTTTCCAGAAATCTTTTGGACTTCTATTACTGTGCCGTCCTCACAATTCATTGTCTTCCTTTTCACTATTTCCTCATCTCCTTTCAAGAAAGTATTCTGCAGTTTGGGGTCTTGACTCTTCCTCTCTCTGTGGTGTCTTTACCAACAATCTAATAAACTCCCTTTGCCTTAACTATTCACCTATGTCTTACTTTTGGAAATCTGTTGTCAGTGGGATCACTCTGATCACCCTCAACCTAGAGCTCTGCATTATATTTACTGTCTACTAAAGAAATCTTCTCTTGATTATTCTGCCATCAGGCAAACAGCATAATCTTCTCTCCAAAGGCTGTGTTTTATAATCTAATTTCCTCCCTTTTAGTAGTGGCGCAGCTGTTCTTTCAGTTTCTTTTGACTTACAATTTTGGAGTCATCACTGACTCCTCCTAGCCTTTACCTCATACCCATTTACTAAGTTGTGCCAGCTCTTCTTTGACAGTACCTCTCATGATTCTTGTTTTGAACTAACATGATTCATGTTATTCTTATCTCTTATTTGGACAGTTGCACGTACGTTTTTACAAGTCTTTATACCTCTGTCTTGTCTCACTCTCTTCATCCCTTATCTATCCTTTACAACATGACTTCAGTATTGTCCTGGGCCAGGCTTATTTTATTGCCAGATTTCAGCAAAATTTGTTCTTACCTGCTATATAACATGAAGACTCTTTGTCATTTATTGTTTAGTTTATCCAATAATTAGCCCCAAACAATCTTCTCACCATGTTTTACTAGTTCCTAGACTAAGCGTATGCTCTATCCAAGATCAATTATTTTCTTTTCACTATATATAATCTCACATTTTCTTTGTTCCTACTTGGCATGGCCTTCTGTCATCTCCACGAAATGATTCTCATGTAACTCCAGCCCAAATATTATATCCTCCATAAAAATTTCAATGAGCTTCTCAACAAAAAATAATTTCTTTTACTTATGAACTCCTGAAGCATTTTTAAAACATTGTCTATGGCCTTTTGACATTCAACTGGATCTTTCTTATTAAACAATAAGCTTTTGAAGATAGAAACAATGTCATATCACCCCTTCTATCTCCACAAGTGTGCAGTGCTTTGTTCTTTGCTAGGTATATGGGATATAGTCACAAACATTTTTAAGGACAAACACTTTTATGTATTTTATTCTTCCAAATATTTTCCCAAATGCTACTTCTCCTACAGTCTTACTTTTAAGTTGAAGAGCATATGCAGAACAGAGGATTCAAATAATAGTTTACATTTACATATTGTAGTATAATTTAGTAGCATGTATTTTTCAGTTAATATCTGATATACTGGTTGAAATCATAGCAATACAGCAGTAATGAGTCTTCAATACATATCCAAACAAAAGATGATATTGGTCTCATAATGAAAAAAAAAACCCTGCTAAGGTATGTGTAAAACAAAAAGTAAATCTAAAATCTATTTGGGAAAATAATAAAATGTTTTATAGCAGAAAGATAAATAATCAAAAGAATGCACAAAAACTATTATAGTTACTGGAACATGTCCCATGATAAACAGAAGTTGTAAAAGCAATAATTTTAGTAAAATCAGTCCTAATTTATCTTTACCTTTCATTCCTTAGAATTTTAAAGTTGGACGGAATTCATTAATATGTATTTAAAATTATTGTAGGTAATATTAGGATATTACATTAGCAATTTATTACCATTAGCAATAGAATAGTGAAGAACATAGAGCTAGGAATATCAGGCTACTTGATGTACTGCACCTTATAGAATGCTGACTCTGAGGAAGAGAATGTGTTCTCCCTTTTAAACTCATTCTACAGCTGAAAAAAACAAAATCTGTCTTAGATGTTAGTTACTGTTAACTCACAGGCTTATTTCATAGAATTTCTGAGGTCATCTGGGGGTTTGGAGCCATAATGAAATATACTGAATATTGGGTTTGGACTTGAACCTTGAAGAATTTATTCTCACTTCTGAGGATGACTTGAGGATCCATTCCATCACACATTCAATACCCTGATTGTCTCTCCTTTGGCTCTACATCATAAGATATTTGATTGGTAAATAGGATGCTTTGTAAGTAATTACTCTTATTAAAGTACTCTTATTATAGTGTAGTATTATTTTATAATTATTATACAATAAGTAGTCTTAGTATCTCAATTTGGCCTCCATAGTGATGTACAGTGTAAATATATCCACACATTAATTTTCTAACTTTATGTAACATATACTGTAAAAATATCATTTTAAAAATATTCTTTAATAATTAGCTTTTAAAACAAACAGTCTAATTATGTATCAGGCATGAAAAAATAAAAGGTCAATAGCTACAGATGCATAATTTCACTCTGATAGATTGCTATTTGAAAATAGGTTATGCCAATTAGATGATTAATTTTCTTCTATTAAATAACATTATGAGACTTCGGATTACATGTATCAGTATATTCTCTTTAGTGGGAACATAATATGAAGAAAGGCCAAACAGAATACGAATTTATATCCTTTCTGGAAGGATCTGAATATACTTTTTATCAACCACACTTGGGAAGATAATTAGAAAATTAAACTCTGTTTGAAAACTTATTTTATGTTTCGTATTCAAAGTAACATGTTGAAGACACAATGTGTTAAAGGTTAAACTATATGAATATGAGGAACAAAAATCTGGGTGTCCTGCTGGCAATTTTTTTTTGGTTCTGGTTATCTGCAAAGTATACACCCCTTGTCAGTATAACTAGGGAGTGACTGTGTAAACATTCTTGTTTCGCCTGTTCCACATAATCGTTTCTTGTATCATATTTCTTCTGACCTCACTATCTGAAACCAATTACAGGAGATCCATTTGGGCTGCATCTATTTTCATAAGAAGCCTAGGCAACAGTGTTTTTCTCAGAGATGAATATCAACATCAAATATGCTTCTGAGTGCTTTGTTATTTATGTTTCAGAGAGATTTTGTAGCCTTCAGCTCTCAAGAATGTGTCACGCTGTGCTGTTTATACATTGAAGATATTAATGGGCGTAGATGTCATTTTTCATTTTAATGTCTCAAATGCAACAGGCTGATAGGTTAAGCATTCCTATTTTTATGGGGAGATATATGACTGATGTCTGTTTTTTCCCCTAATATACATATATTTACTTTGAAAAAAAAGTTATTTATAAACCTTAGCATACTCAACATTTTTTTTGTTTTACTGCGTATTTCTAAACTATTCTCAAGTAATTTTATATTTGGTGAAAGTTTTCAGTGTTCTTCAGTGGAAAAAAGTATTTATCTGGCAGGTTACAAAGCATTTTCATCCTTAGTTAATTACACAATGACCTACTCATTAGAATTATTCTGTGAGGTTCATAACTAGCATAAAATTACTACTAGTGAAGAAGTATGCTTGAACTTTGCTTTTCTTACAAAAATTTAGTTAAAATTGCACAGTAAGAGTTAGGAATGATGTTTTCAGTAAGTATTTTAGAGAAAAAATGCACTCAATTATGAAAAATGTGCATTCCCACATCTCTGCAGCCTAACAAAATGTTTACCTTTAATCTCTTATAAAGATTATTTCTTTTTTCAAATTTTTTAATTTAACCTGATTTCAAATTTTAAGATGTCTTACCTTAATTTTCTTTAGGTTTCCTAAAATAGGATAACTTCATTAAGTAATGTGCACCCCTAATTAAAAACAAATGTGTTTTTGGAAACTAGATATGGTTTGGCTGCCTTCGAAATCTCTTTCTTGTTTCTGATACATTGGAAACAGACTCAATCATTGTGAAAGGAAATTTTGTAAACAACTTTTGCTTTTGTTCAAAATTAATTTTTGTGGGGGAGGGTGACCATCTAAATGACTAGATGGCGCAGAGAACTTTATGAATGGCCCTGGATTTAATATTTTGTTTGTATTGATAGAAGTGGCAAGTGATTTTTAAATTAATATTTGTGTCATTTGACACCTAACATTTTATATTGATGGAAGTGTTTTATCTAATAATCTTTCATTTTTTGAGTGGCTATAATAATAAATTGCAAAGATGAACTAAATGTCATCTAATTGCTCAGAGACCTGAGCAATTGTTTATTGAAATTCAGTCCTAAAGTGTTATCCAGAATACTGGAAATAAAAATGTCATATGATGCATGCAGTGAGAATGCAAACTGCCAGAGCTTTCTGCTTATGAGTTTTAAATCATTCCTGATCTCCTAGAATTGTTTTTTGTTCTCCCACCTCTTATGTTTACTATAGCAGTCTCTACTCTACCAAAAGAATGTTGAAATAGGAAAGAAGTTATTTTTTCTAAGAGTTTGTATTAAAAGATGATCCTCAGCTATTTTGGAGATAATGCATATGAAAACCAAAATACTTTAAAGTAGAAGCATTTTTTTAGCCAGCTATCTTGTGATATTTCATTACTATTATTACTCCTTTACTAACAGTGTAGGTGTATGCTTTTGACTAGTGATACTTTGATGAGCAAAACTTGTAATATATTTAATTTTCTAGTGTTTGTCTACAGACATTACGTAGCATTGACATATTCCATTGATTACATGGGTTATGTTGAATGAATATAACGCAGGTTGGTAAAATGGATGGGGTCCTGAGCTTGGGAGAGAAGAGCCAGAGTTTTTGACCAGGTTCTGCTACTGCTTTGTGACTTCAATCAACTCATCCTAGTATTGTTTCTTCAGTTACTTGTTTGAGAAAGGTAGTCTAGACAGTTTCTAAGGCCTTGTCCAGCTCTAGAATTTTGCAGTTCTATAGTAATAATTGATCAGATACTCAGGATGTTACAAAAGTTTAGAGTTCCATCAGGCATAAGGGAGGTATTAATATAAAATGAAATCCGAGTTAAGGATGATGAGGGCAGTAGCCATTAAAACAGTATATATTGTGTGATAGTTGTTCTATTCGTTTACAGATTCAAAACAAAAAGGTTATATTGTTGTTTCCCATGTAAAGTCTGAAAAATGAATATGCTCTCTTTACTAGTGAAGAATAACTCATTATAATGTCATATATTCTCCTTTACTAGAGTCTTACTCATTGCCTACTAATGATTCCTTTGACAGAACAGAAACAGTATGGCACACTGGAATACACTCAGGCCTGGAAGCCAGCAGACCTTGAACAAAGCATTCATAAATTGCTTTGTGATCTTGAACAAAGCAACTGACTATTCTACGTTTCATTTTTCTTATGTGCTAGAATAAGGAGGTCAGATTAGATGATTTTCAAGATAGCTTTTAGTCCTTGTCATTCATGATTCTAAGATCCTAAACAGTGTTCAATAAATTTTTTAAAGAATAATAAATAGATAACTACATAATTTAATATAAATTAAGGCAACAGGTATACAAAATAAACTCATCAACTCGAAAAGAAAAAAAAACTACATGAAAACAATTAGGCATTAACTGGAAAAATAATCAAATGCATTTTTTATTTTGAGAATTTCAGAGACACAGCCTGGGACACCTATTGTAATTTCCATTTGGAAAATTATCATTTGTAGTCACTTTATAAGTTACAATTAAAAGAGGAAAGATATATTATTTAGAATATTGAATAAAAAGTTTCAAATAGTGAGCCTTGTGATAATAAAGTAATTACAGATTTTTTTGTTTGTATTTTCAAACTGAGCTCTATAATAAATAGCCTGAGTTCACTGGAATGTGCCATCCTTAGAAATATTTACGTTAATTTGTAATTACTTGAAAAGTTAAAAAACAACAACAAAGATGATTATCGTGAGTGAGTGTGTCTCCAAATGTAAAAAGTGTGCTTTACAAACTATGCCAGATCCTGCTATCGGAAGACAAATCAATGTTGTTAGGAGATGGTGCTAGTGCATTCAGTTTGTTTACTTTGGTTTCTATGTCTGCCTGCCTTCTCAGAAAACTTGCTTGGAGCCAGACTGTAGCAGCCCTCTCTGTCTTTTCATAATTGATCAGGGGATGACTGCCTTCCCTGAGGGTTAAGACGTGGCAACTTTTTCTGTTTGCTCAGCATCTCAATGCAGTAGTTCAAACATTGTTCACACCAGCTGGCAGTGTAATGCCATATGCACATCTTGTCAAAGCAACTGTTGTCATGGATACTAGAAACTCTCTTAAAAACCAGATCATTGATTACAATCAAAATTGTACTTTTTATCAGCTGAAATTCTTAATTATTATATAGGAATATTAATCCAATAATGTTTTCTCATTGTGAAAAATTTATCTTGTATTCAAAAACAGTAAATAACATATTAGGCCAATGATTTAGTTTAGTTTTATGTGTTGAAAAATTTCATCATTAGTGTTCATTGAACTCAGTTGTTGAGAGAGAAAATGAATTTTTTAAGAGACTCTTAAAAGTTTTTGTTAATTAGTGTATACTCCTACCTTTAGAAGAATTTACTATGCATTTTGGTCTATGGCACTAGCTTTTATATGTTAAGTTTATATAGTACATTTACTGAACTGTTCCTCCTCCAGTAAATGAAATGCTTACATTAATTTCTTATGTTAAGTTTTATTTTCCTAAGTGGGAAAGAAAACATAAAAATAAATGAAAACATCTTCTATTTTGATTGGTATTCTGTCACACATAGAAACAAACCTGATTGGTTGAGTGGTAATTTCTTTGTTCTCTGATTTTGCTAAGAATGCAAATGAAAACCACTCAATTTTATTTGGCATTAAAACTGCACTTTATTTTGTCAAAGGAGAGGTTTCCCCTTGAATTGTAAGTACAAAAAAAGTGTTTTTAATCTTTAGTGAAAATCCTTATTAATTCACTTTCAAGATAATCTGATGTTGATTTGTCAAATTTAATTACAGCTTCCGGTAACACTTGAAGTCTACTGCTTTTGCCTCAAAATTGTAATATGAAAATGCAAATTGAATGATAATTTAAAAGGGAGTGGGCATTTTAGTTAACACTCAAAGACAAGTTCCTTGTGGAAATGAGGTTATTGATGCAGTTTATGATTTTTATCCTCTTTAAGCACTTTAAACAAATTAACTTTATTTCCTGTAGGATT
The DNA here is from genome assembly GCF_000001405.40 of Homo sapiens. Taxonomy (NCBI): domain Eukaryota; kingdom Metazoa; phylum Chordata; class Mammalia; order Primates; family Hominidae; genus Homo; species Homo sapiens. The sequence continues at coordinate 114,534,413 of NC_000007.14, forward strand.
GCATGTTTCTCTGTGATTTGGAGTAAAAAGTTATATATGTGTGTTTGGCAATTTTTTTCATATTAGAAGATAAACAACAATGATTCTCTCTAGAAAGGAATATGGGAGTTCTTGTACATTGAAGCCTTTTACTATTAACCAAGAGATAATTGATAACTTAACTTTCAACAAAATATTTAGATAAGGTTTCATTTTTACTTCTAGGCTCTCCAGGCAGCAAGACAACTTCTTTTACAGCAGCAAACAAGTGGATTGAAATCTCCTAAGAGCAGTGATAAACAGAGACCACTGCAGGTTAGTAAAGCACTCCTGTCCTTGGGGTCTTATTTTAAAAGATGTTCATAATGATAACAGATGTGCAGACCCACTTGTATATATACAGGAAATTATTACATTTGCATATGTAGGTAATTTTAATTCATAAAGAGAATTCATTTTATCTTCTTAAAGGAGAAAAAAATAATATTCTATTGGCATACATTTTAAAAGTTTACAAGGTAACTCCTTGCAAAAAATACATAGGAACCATATTTGGTGTACATAGGCATAAAGAATTTTGCATAAAACCCCCTTGTGGGATTTTATTCATACATAGGTTGAAATGTAAAATTTTTTTCTTAAAAGCAAAGTTATAGTAAAATGGTGTGGAAGGAAACAAAGAAGTCTTAGACAACCCTTCCGCAGTTGTATCCAAGTGACAAATGCAGAAAACTTCGAGGATTGCCAAAAAAACTGTTTGAGTTTGCCAAGGAGTTATTGCTGGTGCTACAGTTATAAAAACACATTCTGGAGTTTGTTGTCCTTACTCACTATGTTTGTCCTGTGAAACTGATAGTATGTATGTCTTTTAAAGTAACTTTTGTTACATAATATAATCCTTGTTTTATGCAGTCTTCTTAACCAAAATATGTGGGACATTTTCTTGGTGGGGGGGGAAACATTTTTAAGGTATATTTTTTGACTGTTTGGAAGGTAAATTCTGGAATTGCATAAAACATCTCTCAAAGTGTTCACCAGCTCTGTTGAAAGATAAGTAATGCTTTTTCCTGAATCATGTGTTATATACATGTCTAATAAGGCAAATTTAGTTTTTTAACATCTCTTGTGGCTTTAACAAAAAAAACAAAACAAAACAATTTTTTATGGCCCAGCTGTCTGTTTTTATTTTCAGGTGTACTTACAGATGTTAGTAACTAAGTCTTACATGATGGCCTTCTGGAGCTTAGTTTGTATAAGAGAGAATTATAAGCTACTGATCTGTACAATCCAAAAATTAGTTATTACCTAAAAACTGGATAAAATGTATGGTCCCTAAACAAATTTGAGATAAGAACCGATTTTCCTGGGAACAAAGTCATCTGTGGAGGGTGGATGAGAAGAAGAGGGACTTGGGGATAAGGGATGTTTCAACAGAGTACAGATGTCTGCCATGACTGGAAATGAAAGTTTTATTTAATCACCCTGAGTTTAAGATTCTTTTCAGTTTTTTTTTCTCTTTTAAAAGCAACTTCACATTCCTTTGTTTTAACTAATGAATAATTCTGTGTCACTTTCCTCACCATCATATTCTTCCCCAATTTATAATGGGAGCGTAGGTGTAGTATTTCCATGGAGTTATCTGATTGCATGAGAGTCTCTTCATGCATTTACATGACAGAGAAAAATTTACATAGAAGTCACAGAAGATAGCAAATGAAATGTTTATCCTCACTATGGCTTCAGAGTGGGAATTTTGCTTTCTTGTTGGAATAGAAAAGGAGAATTAGATGCTGGCAACATAAGCAAAAGATAGGAATGAAGTTACTGTTTTGAGTGTCTAAAAAACACTATATATTTTCCTAATTCTATTTTATCATATTTCTTGACAAAATAGAGGAATTCGCAGTTGCTTCTTCCTCTCCAAAGCTAAGTCCAGTAGAAGTTTCTATATTGCTGGTTACCAGGGTATCTCTGGAAAGAATGGCTGGGCTTTAGTTTTTCTTTTCTTTTTTTTTTTTTTTTTTTTTGTTGTTGTTGTTGCATTGAAAGGCAAGATTTGATACTTGGACTAAAATATACGTACTTTTCCTTACAAAATACCCACAATAGAATGTGGGAATATTAATGGCTCTAAAATAAGAAATTGTTGTTTGTTTATCAATGCAGAAGTAAAATTTTGAGCAGAAGTGTCCAGTCTTGTTGTTTTAGCATAAAAGAATGATTAAAACTATTATAAATACCTTTTAACAATTGCAGTTGCTGACCATGACTACAAAGACTTTCATTGTGTCACTTGTTTTTCATTTTGTGATGCATATTAATCTGAATTTATCTCCATTGTTTAGACTGTAAAACTAGCATTTCAGTATTAGTTTGTAATTTTAATGAGATCTCATGCCAAAATGTCATAGGAACGAGAAGTTGAGTTTTATGAATGAGAATTTAGGGATATTGAATGAGACTTATTCACCAAAATATACACTGCAATTAATAAAATGTGAGCCTTCATTTTTAGTATTTCATAGGACTTGATAAGCTTAGCAACTGGAGACACGCTGGGATTGTATTAAAACTCCAATAAAAGCTTAACAGCATTTGATACTAGCTTACACATCTGTTGTCAAACAGGAATATTAGGTAATGCTTATCCTTGTATCTTCAAATATTATTTAGCATGAGTTGCACTATTTGCCACTTATGTTTTTAAAAAGGGTACGATGTTTTCATTAAAATTTTCAATAATTTGATATGAAATTAGCATTTTAAAAGTTTTCTTATATAATTCTCTCAAAATTTATATCTTTTTCTACTTAACCAAGTGTTTAACCAAACATTCATAATAGAGTTAGTGTATTATCTTTACATTTCAAAAGGATAATTGAAAATGTTTCAAAATCTGTAGGTGCAAGGCAAGATATTTGGTATTAATCGATTATGATGGTTCTTAATATGTCAGGCATAACATCTTTAGAGAACCAAAAGAGATACTTTGTATTTTTTATTTTGAAGTATAGTTTTGATAGAGAACTATTTTATAAAGTTTGAAAGAAAATACAGATTTCAAAACCTGTTTTGATGGCTCAAGTCACAAGAACAATATTCAGTTGCTTGTTAACATTCACCTGAATTTCTTTTCTCTGTTAAGAAGTGGTGGCCAGATTTGAAGTGTGACATGGTACAGAGTCTATTTTTAGTAGACTAGTATTTATCTACTATTATTTTTTCATTTACATTTGTTCAGGATTTTGTGCTACAGATGGCATAGATATTAGCATGTCTAATGCAAAATGGAAAGAAGAAAACATCACATCTGACAAGCTTGAGTGCCAATTGTAGTAGTGATTTCACTTTCATGTATAGATATCTGAATATATGTATTTGAAACATGTTTACATAATCTCATTACATGAAACACCAATTGAATAGGTGCAATCAGCAAGTACATTGATTAATGGCATATTGATGAATAATATATAAAGATTGTGATGCAAATGGGAGCCAATATTAACTTAAGCATTACCAGATGTTTCTGCTTTACATTCTTACTGTGTATACCAGAAAACATATCCTAATAATAACAGCCAAAGACAGCTTCTCACTTTAATTTGTTTTATTTATTTAAATCTACTCCTAGCACTTCCTAGACTTGATATGTTCATAGTGATCCATAATGAGGAAAGTTAGCCAAAAAGAATAATACTTAATCCTTTCAATTTCATGAAACTAATTTTCAGTTTAGAAAGAGTAAGTTAACACATCACCCCACACACACATAAATGCCAACATGCACATACACACATGCACACTTCCATAATCTGTAAATTTAAAAAAATTTTTGTAAAATACATTTTCAATTTTCTAGCCTATGACAAATCTACTTAATTTAGTTTAGATATGAAAATTGGTCGCATTATTGTTCTTGTTACATTTACAGCCATGAGACAGACTTGTGGTTCTTCAACAGCTGTGCAGAGCAGAGACGTAAATTTAAGGTAAATGCCATTGCTTTGCTATCTTAGATGAATATTAGTTTTTAGCATTGTAATCACTTCCTTCATTGTAGGTTAATATATAATATAAAGTTCTCCTTTCTAATAGGTAATTGAATTATAAAATTTTTATAATTCTGTCTTAAGAAGTTCAAGAATGGAATAGTAAAAAGCAAAAGAGAATTAAACTTGGGGGTCTTATTCTGACTCTGCCACAAATAGTTATATAAGTCTGAGGAAGTTACTTGACATCTTTAAAATAAAGATGTTGGGCTAACTGATGAACAAGATCTTAAATTCCATGGTTAAATATTTATTTTGTTTTCATTTTGAAGTAAGTGAGGTATCTTAATTTTTCAGGATTGGGTATATCTTGTTGGATATTAGCTTATGAAGTAAGGATTATGTTTTTGTTTGCTTGGTTTTTGTTACAAAACATTTGTTTATTAACATGCCCCATCCAGAAACCGTGCCTTGGAAACAAAGAATTAAAGCCCATATGTATGGAAAACCATTGCGCAAATATAATTCTGTATATCTGAGGAAGCTTTGTTTTGTTTCATGCCTTGAAATATTATAAATTGAATTTATGAGAAATGTAAGCTACATAAAAATTATTTAACCAATGTATTTACTTTAATAATCTACATTGAAATGTTTTGATATAATGCAACTTAACATTATTTTTACTTTACTATTTCATTCCAAATTGTTAAAAATAACAAAAGCTGACAAAACCAGAAATTCTATAGTAAACTAATTATCAATACTGAAATTCCATATCATATGTAAAAAATCAAGAATAAGTTATAAAAGTTTATAATTTGTAAAATATTCTGGAGGAAAATACTAACTTATATGGGATATAGAATCACTCATTACAAAATGTATTTTAGGAAATGATAACATTTTATTTATGTAGCGATAAAGAATGAAACTGAATATTTCTTTTTCAATATTACTTTTAAATATAATGTAGAAGAAGTGGAGAGAAGCTAAACCACATTTTATTCCAAATAAAAGCAGCATTGCCAGAAAAATTGAGATACGGGTTTAAATAGAGCGATCTATTATGATGCCAGAAATTTAGAAATAAGTTTTTAAAGATATTCTTTACTATTTATATTTTCTGTGTATTGAAAGATGAACAGGAGGTCTAATACATTATTTCTTGATCATAAAAAAAAAGAATTTAATTCAAATACTGTTTACAAGAACAGACTATGTCTTGTGTGGCTCTTATTTTCCCATTCCAGTGAAGAACATTTCTTAAAAGCAGCATGAAATAGGCAAATTTAAAAGAATGTTATAGAATACAATTTTTGTTAAACTATGATGATGTTTCTATCCATGACCAGCTGCTCAAGGCTGACACCCTGTGGAGGAGGGTCTGGGACATTGAGCTCATTACTACTAAGCATGCTTGTGTGGAAAACTTACCATATGATCTACTCATGGCATATAGAAGAAAGAACCATGTGTTTCAGATCTGAAGCCTGCCCTTGCCATTAATAGGGCTTTGGATAGAATAACCTGATCTCTTTGGAGCCTGTTTCCTCATCCCTAAAATAGGAATAAAGATACCCAACCTTTCAAGATTGCTGTGAAGACCAAAAATTATATTATATAAAGTACTTACCGTAAATCCTTGGATAAGGAGTTAATAAATAATTACCATTATGCTAGCCTCCAGGAAATTGGTATTTAATTCAAGGTTATGATATATATTCTATATCATAGCATTTGGCCGTAATTTGTTACTATTACCAGCTATTTCAATGATTTGAAGTATGCCCTTGTTGTAATTGTGTGTTTTAAGGAATACTAGAGTGTTTTCCCCTGCTATAGGCTCCCACCACATATACACTTCACACTCTCCAAACATAAACTTATATTTTAATGTTTATCTTCTCTATTAAACTGTAAGCGATATGACAGCAGGAATCATGAATTCCCTGCTCTTCTCTAGTGCCTAGCACAGTGCTTGGTGAATAATAGAGCTCAATAAATAAACTTGTTGAAACAATGAATAAGGAGGAGATTGTGCTGAGTGGAGCAAAGGAGATTTGGAGGAGGAAAAAAAACATCCATTCATTCAGTATAAATTGAGTGATTATTTATCATGTGTAATGTCCTCAGGGACTTATGACTTAGTTGAGGAGATATTCAGAGTTGCACACAAATAAAAACATTATTGGCCACAGTGGATGTGCTGTAGAAATGGGAAAAACAGAAAGAACAATAAGCATTTAAAAAAGAAAATTAACAATTCAGGCTACAAGTGGTCAGGGAAGACTTTGTAGAGAAGGTAGCATGTATGTTGGGCTTAAAGAAAAGGAATTTGGTAGATAAAGGAATTTTTGATGGAGAATTTTTTTAAAGATGTCATCAAAGATGTAGACATAGGAAATTCTGAGATCTGGTTGGGCAAGTGTAAGTAGTTTGTTTTGATCAGCCTAGAGATATCATACTAATGTAATAATGAATGGGTTGGGGGTTAGAAATACACATCGCTGATTGTATAGAACTTAAAATGTCAAGCCAAGAAGTCAGTATTTTATAGATTGGGTAGAAGGGGCTATTAAAGTTTTTTGATGAGGAAGTGAAATTATCAAAGCAGTGGTCTGTGAAGATAGCAATGGAACATTTGGAGGATATTTTCAGGGAAGGGAATTCTGAGAAACCTGGAATAAGGATAATCCTTTAAAAACTATTTAGGTAGGCATGATGATGACTTAAGCTTTAGACATGTTGAGTTTGAGGAGATGGCAAGACAAGAAAGTAGAAATAGCTAGCTTTTAGCAAATTTGAAAGAAAGCTTGACAGAGGGGTCAAGACTAAAGAGAAACATTTGGGGAACAACACAGAAGTGATAGATGAATCCATGGTAGTAGAGGAGATTTCTGAAAAAGGTAATTTGAAAAGAGGAGCTCAGTAACATTCACATTTTTTTAGAGCAAGAAGAAAAAGCAGAAGAGACAAGAGGGGACTAGAGCAATCAAATTAGCATTGGATTTATTAAGGAAGGTCAACAAAAGGGGGAGTTTATAAAATTTAAGGCTTTTCAGCCACATCAAGCAATGTCCACAGGAAGGAGAACATTTTTGCATAAACACTGTTTAGTTGATTGCAACACAGATACTTTTAAATCCCCCTCATTCTTCATCATTCATCAGTAACTCTTAGGATCTGCAGTAGTAATGTGATCAATAATGAATAGAGAAAAATCATACTTTAACATGGATGATAAATAGAAAATAGGGAATTAATAAATGTACTTTTGCTTCTCAGATTGCAGTGAAAGAAAATGTATGTTGCATATATAATACTGAACTTCCATAAATTAAATATGGAAGAACTTTGCTATCTAGGAGGCCAAATTTTCGCTTTTCTTAGCTACCCAAGCACTTGCTTCTTTCTGTAATCCATTAGGATTTTAAGTATATATTCCCTTGACTTCTCTACCTTAACTAAAGTGAGAGCAAGAAAGAAATAGAACATTAATATTGTTATGGGAGCTCTCTATAGGATTTAAGACTTAGGCTGTGAATTTTATCTTAAGATGTTTGGAAGTGTTATACAAGCTAAATTGAATGACAAAGTGAAGAACAGTGTCAGCACATGATTAAAGACAAAAAGTAAAATTATTTTGAAATTTACTTACATTTAAGATTATTTGTGTTTCCTCTGTGGATTCTATTTATATATTTCTATCAACCCACCTTCCACATTTCTATTGGTTTTCTTAAAATGTTTCTGCTACCTTCACCTTTTCTACTGCTTTCTTTTCTCCTTTACCATTTTATTTTCTTCTCTCATCATGTAATCTTGTCTATTTTACTTTATTGCTGTCTCTTTGGTCCCATAAGAACACAGAAACTTTAAATATCTGTAACTATCTAATTCTATCATGAACCTAAAAGATATTCTAACATATCATTTTACTAACAAAATAAAACCGTGCCCATTCTTACAATCCAGTATCTAATATTTAATTCTTGTCTTACACCAAGAATAGTTTGTGCTATTTAAGTTGGAGTTTCAATAGGAAAGCACTTCTCCACTTGAGTATCTCAGCTACTTAGAAGAACCTGGAACCCTAAGGCTTTTTCCTTTTCTTTTTAGTGCTAGAAATCTCCTGTTATGACATTTATAGTGGCTTTTTAAAAAATTGTCTTCAGAGTGGCTTCATTGTTCCTTAATCTTTTGGTCTGCTTTTTCAGAAAATCTATTACAAAATGAATATTTAAACTAGAATTGCTTGGGATAGTTGTATTAAATGGTCAGTTCTTCTAAGAACATCTAAGATTGTGCTGATTGTGATTATTTTAGTAATGCTGAATTTGGAAGCACAGCATTTGGAAAGATGAAACAAATGTGGAATAAATTTTTTTGTTTTTGTTTTTGTTTTTTGTTTTTTTTTTTTTTGAGGCAGAATCTCACTCTGTCACCCAGGTTGTAGTGCAGTGGCAAGATTTCCTCTCACTGCAACATCTGCCTCCTGGGTTCAAGAAATTCTCCTGCCTCAGCCTCCTGAGTAGCTGGGGTCACGGGCATGCACCACCATGCCCAACTAATTTTTGTATATTTAGTAGAGACGGGGTTTCACCCTGTTGGCCTCGAACTCCTGACCTTAAGTGATCCACCCACCTTGGCCTCCAAAAGCGCTGGGATTATAGCATGAGCCACCATACCCGGCCTGTTCTTTCAAAATATTTAAGTCACCCTATCTTAATATGAAAATCATATAAGCTCATTACAAGAATCTAACATGATTTTAAGTTAAATTATGTTTGGTCACTAAGTTCCTTTTCCCAAAGGCACTTGATAAATGCTAATAAATTACTATAGTATAGTGGATTTTTCAAAATGAAAATTGTATTCTCTGTTTAGATGAGGTAGAAACCACTCATAAGAACTAATTATAGTAGAATTATAGTAGACCCTCAACATTCACAATGTGTATACCCATAGATCTTCATGAATCCTCAAATTAAAAAAAATTTCCATTTCAAAAATTTGGTGAGGTTTGTGCAGACTTTCTTGTATACTGTCCTTGGTTTGAACCAAGCTACCATTGCCTTATACAAAGTCTAATACAAGTTAACAACTTTAAAAATTTCAATAAAATTTGCCCTGTGATTAATTTTAAATTTTCAAAAAAGAAACTTTTTTACATTATAGGTTCTCCTACATTAGTGAGGTAGATAACAGCAAAGCTACATTAGTGATAGAAAAATCCATATGAGTTTAGGAATTAGGTTATGTGTGTGAGAAGTCAGCAATCTGAAGACCAGATCAACTTTTTAGCTACTTGATTGTTTCATGGCTTGAAGAACTGCACAGGTGCAATGTCTAGAGACTTAGAGATCACATGTAAATAACCACACAAATCCATAACATCTGTGAATTTTAAAGCTCTATTCTACCAAATCTTGCCATCTCTCATCTATGTTCACCCAAAGTGAACAAACAAGTATCCCCTACTTTCCTTGTTATTTTATTGAAGACTTGAGAGAAGTTCCCTGTCTTAAAATTTTTATCCTCCTTAATTGTAAATCTCCACTGGCATCAATTAATTACCGGGAAATGTTCCTTCAGAGTAAAAGTTGCCTAGCATGTTTTTTTCTTTTTCTTCTTCATTTTCTTTTTCTTAATAGAGGCAAAGTCTCACTATGTTGCCCAGGCTGGGCTCTAAATCCTGGGCTCAAGTGATTCTTCTGCCTCAGCCTCCCAAGTGTCAGGGTTATAGTCATGAGCCACAGCACCCAGCCTCTAGCATGCTTTTTAAGGGAATAGGGAAAGGCCGTGTCTTGAGTGTGAAGAGACCTCTCACAAATATTGAGTAAATCAGTAGAGACTTTAATGGCCATTCATTGTTTCCTAGTTTGGTTCAGGGATTCTGAACTAAGGATTTTATGCGCCCCCACCCTGCCCCCACCCAGTTAGAGAGCCTCTGTCTAAATCCAGTTAAAGGTCTTGAATCACATCAAGCTGTGGCTAAAGTTTGTTATTTGATTGTGCCTATTTTTACAGTTTTAAATTTTATCAGTATAGACACAGAACCTTTAATACCTAATAGTTAAGCATTTTGATAACACAAAATACACAGAAAATTCCTTTGCATAGTATATAAATCCTTACACTTTTAATGCTAACACTTGCATTGCTGTAAAAGCTGCCACCTTGACATCTTCTACTGCTAGTGCTACTGCACGTTCTCAAGTGACAAACCAAGGAACACATTGAACATTATGATGTGCTGACATGAAGAAATCTGTTGTCTCACAGAAAGACTGTAGCAAATTCTTGGATAGAATATCTCTGTAAAAGCAAACAAACATAAAAGACAAAATTATTCTCTCTACATTCTACCTTCTTCCCATAGTATCCAGCATTTAAAACATATTAACTGGTGATTAAACTATGACTAAAATTATAGTTTCTCAAAATCATGGCCATCATTTGAAGTTTTCCTTCATTTCAGGAGAATTTATTTTCCGTAATCAATAACAATCACCACTGCCATACACAGTCTTAGAGGATGTTTATACAATTCATTTTCAAGTCTAAAAAATTACTTGCAAGTCTTATAAAAATGGAGATCTTGGGTCTATCCCAGACTACTGAATTAAAATTGAGGAACGAGGGATGGAATCTTTGGAAATAAAGATATTTAAAACTCTCCAGGAGATACAATACAGTTGGCTTACAATACAGCTGGCCTACAGAGTAGTATATAAGAACCCTGAACTGTTCTCTTTTGGAACAAGAAAACAGTGAACCCCAAATTCTATTAATATACTATATGATTTTCCCTCTCTGGGATTCAGTTTTCCAACCCTTGCAATGAAAAGGCTGAACTAGTGATACTTCAGGTTACTTCCAGATGCAACAGTTATTGAATCTCATCCCAGCACTAACTTTTGTTTGTTTATATATTTATTGTCTAAATCTGAACTAATTAAAAAGGATTCTGAGCAGGTTTCTTGAGATGTCTCTCTCTGATCAGCCTTTTCAGGATCATTTCCAACAATATTGTCAGAATTTTATTTTTACTATTATGATTTCTTATGTAAAATCTTCAGTAATGAACTCATTCCCTTCTTATCTTTAATTTTTTAAAATAATATCTGCATCCTAAACTCCTCAGTATATATCTGCTACGCTCAATGGGCTTCCCTTTGGTATTAGAAACCTTAAGAAAAGATGGATTGTATAGTATCAATCAATAGATTGATAGTTGTCTGCTGCAATGGCTCTGGCACTCTGATCTCATTGTCCATTACCTGGTTTTTACATGTTATATGAGCTGCAATATCAAACTACTTATAGTTACTCAAACATCGGTTCATGTCTCCATGCAGCTGGCCTTCCCTTCTTTTTTCTCAATAGGGCTTTCTTCACCTTTTCATCTAGAAATCTTTTTTGCATCTTTTAAATTTCAATTGTGTGTCAACTACTTGGTGAAGTCTCCTTTAATATCCTCCCCATCCTCACCAGCACACACACACTATGTGGAATTAATTATTCCCTTCCATATATTACTTATATGTCTTGTTAATGCATCTATTCTTATATGTATCACACCGAATCATAATTACTATAAGCTTCTTGAGGGCCAAGACTGTGCCTTATTCATCTTCACATTTCCACTATCTGGCCCATCATAGGTTTTCCATAAATTTGTTGAGTCTATAGACCAGTGTTTGTATATAACTCTATCAAGCCCCTCTTTTCTCCTAGGCTCCAGATGTGTTTTTTCACTTGCTTACTGGGGCATCTCAACCTAGATCAACATGTTACAAAGTGAAGTTATTTGTTTTTCCTTACCCAGTCCAATGTTTTCATCAGCTTTTCCTGACGCCATTGTGTAGACTCCAGCCATTAAGCCCTTCTGATCTGTTAGTGTCGTATTCCTCTGCCCTAATCATGTAAAAATTGCCCTGTTCTTCAACCCCAGCATGTCACAAAAGGCTTTTCGTAGACTGGTGCTATGCACCATCATACACCTGATACATTACAACCATGACTTAATCCTTACTGCTCTCCAAACATACTATTTATTTGTTCATTTATTCATTCCTTCATTCATTCACAAATGAATAGGTTGTTTTACATATGCCAGGCATTTTGCAGGGCATCATTAACTATGCAAACTTTGATACCAACTTGTTTTTGTTCCTGCTTCTCATCTGTTTAGAAGGTCATTCCAACACCCCTTATCTGATTGGCAAACTCCTATACATACTTTGAGGCCCCTAATCCCTGGAGTCTTCTCTGATGCATCAAAAAGAAAAAAAAAATCCCTCCTCACACAAGTGAATATCCAGAATTGCATTTTTATTTTATTATCCCAAATATACTAGTTACAAAGATAGATTATACCATATTTTATTACAGTTATCTGATTACTTCTCTAGCTCAATCGCAGACTCTAAATCTTTTCATGTCAGAGATTGCATTTTATTCATGTTTATAACTTCACTTCTTACCACAATGCTTGACACATGGTAGATGCTAAATAAAATTCTTGCCAAATTGAATTGGATTTTGTAAACTGTATTGCTCCTTCTCCGTCCTATAAGACTACAGTATCACTTCCATTCAACTGATGAAACAAGTATTAAAGTATGATAATTTATCAGGTTGTCTGTTTTTGTAGAAAAAAACTTAGAAGCAGATATGAATATCATTAGAAGACATGATTCAGGTCACATTACCCAACTCTCTCTCATATTACTACTTTGTCTGCTTCCGTTAGGCAGGCTCTTTATGAAATACTATTTCTAATGATTCCTTTTCTTGGCTAGATAGCATATAACATACTTTTTTTAGCAATAACAATTGATTCTTTTTTATCTTTATCTAAATATTTTCTTCTTTGATTATATCTTCTGTTTTATGAATTTTATACACACATTGTTTGCTTACAATAAATCCCTTACTTCCTACCTATTTTCTGAACAAAATACACTCCTCATTGCTCTATATTAATCATGTTTCTAATGCCACTACGTATCAATGATACTTTCACTAGGGAACCGGAAGTGAGATACCTGCTTGAGAAAATGGTATTAGAAATATATGTGATTGGCCCAGCGCTGTGGCTCACGCCTGTAATCACAACAGTTTGGGAGGCCGAGGCGGGCGGGTCACGAGGTCAGGAGATCAAGACCATCCTGAATAACACGGTGAAACCCCGTCTCTACTAAAAAATTACAAAAAATTATCTGGGCGTGGTGGCACGTGCCTGTAATCCCAGCAACTTGGGAGGCTGAGACAGGAGAATTTCTCAAACCCGGGAGGCGGAGGTTGCAGTGAGTTGAGATCATGCCACTGCACTCCAGCCTGGGCAACAGAGCGAGACGTCGTCTCAAAAAAAAAGAAATGTATGTGATTACAAGTAAGATGATGTGAGGGTTTCTCAAATATCAAGAAACTATACTTCCTACATGATTTATTGGTATATAATTTTTATGATTTAATTATATCTATTGCCTCAGCCACATGAATTATATATGTTTCCACTAAAATATTATCTAAATTTACTATGAAGTTTATTAGCTACTCTGTTTAGGATTATAGATTTTATCTTTGTCACGAAACATGAACTCCACAGACAAGTAGTCCAGAGCTGACTGGTACAACTGCTCAAGGATGAGACAGAGGACCAAGGTTCCTTTTAGCTAGCTTCCTGCTCTGCCCCTATGTAGCTTTTGTCTTCATGGCCACAAGATAACTCTCCTTCCTCCAAGCATTATGCCCATGTTTTAGGCAAAAAGAAGGGAATGACAAAACAGAAAGGGCAAAATAAAAATAGGTGCAGACCAGCTGCAGCTGTCCCCTTTAATAACCAGCTTTCTCAGAAGCCTCAAACAGTGACTTCTGTTTCTCTTTCACCATCCTGAACAATATCATATGAATACCCATCACTTCAGCTGAGTCTATGAAGCTGATCATGTTTAGTCAGGCACTTTGTCACATTGAACAAAGTTGGGGCTCTTTTGGTAGAGAAAAATAGAAGGATGAATTTTGGGCCAACATCTAGCAACTTCTGCAACCAATAGTTTACCAAATATATTAGTACTGACTCATGGGACCCTAGGGATATGTGAAAAGAGATGTTATGACTTGAAATACTTTAGTGAAATAAATTTTGTTTGTTTGTTTTCTAGGAAAATTTAGAAATATGCAAACCTGTGTATTAATGTGACTAAAGTTCAGTGGGTTATAGGGTTTTAAGTTTTAATATTTTTATTTATACTTAAAATGTTATTAAAGACTCAGTATATACTCAGCACTAGGTAAAGAACAATACAAAGTAAACTATGCAAAGATGATTCTTTCCCTCCAGGAAGTTACTGCTGAATGTTGGCAGTGCTGATGAGGGATTCTGATGGAACATATGTAAGCAGTGGAACAAACACTGGATAGTTTAACTAAATGAAACGTTTGCATATTTTGCAAGTAGAGAAGCAAATGTTTTTTGAAGGGTGGGGAAAAAATCATAGAAGATGAATTTTAAACAAGTTCAGAGCAGAAAAATGTTTCATTTAGCTATTACATATTAGATTCTGGTATCACTGGAACACTTCAGAAAGTCTTAACATTCCTCCCAGCTTTAGTGAAGTAAGACATGTTCCATAAATTCTCTGTATTTCCTGCAGCAATTACTATAACCACCTATACTGCAAAAATTGATACTTGTGGGGTACCTAGAAGAAGGTTCAAGGAAACCTTGCTTTCTCTTACCCCAAACTTCCATTGACACATACTGCTGTGTTCTACGATCCAGATACTTTGCCCCAGTGATCATTCATTTTGTTCCCACATAAACCCCAGAATTGATTGGTACTGTCCATATATTCCTTTTGAAGAATCTGAGAGCCAGAAAGTTTTAGTACATTTCCCAAGTACCTAGGGTCAAACTTCAGTTCTGTCCGATTACAAGGTCTCTTTTTTCCCCCACTCTTTTCAGGGTATATTTGAAATAAATGAATCATATCCTTGGGAATTCTTGGTTTGGGGGAATAGAAGGAGGACAGGAAGGGCAGAAATATTTTATTCTGTAAAGGCTGACATCTTATTCAAGGCTGCCCCATTCTGGAGGATGGAGGAAGAATGTGAGGTCTCTATGCTATATGTGACTCTGCCCAGCCAAACCAGGATTATTCTTGGACATGTTTGTCATCACTTCATCCAGGGCACCATGAGAATAAGAATTAGTCATTGGTTTGGCCCTGAGATGCTGTAAATGCATAATGATTTTTAATAATCAGACCTCTCATAATAGGTCTTGCATGCTTTCCAGTAATTATCCAGGATGAAATTAAAATGAACTTAGTCCATCTTTTTTAAACTTGTGGTTTGTGGAATTTGTGCCATTGGATTTTGTCTTTCAAATTAAAAAAAAATAGTATAATAAACCTTTCTTTAAAGAAATACATTATAAATGTGGAAAACAAATAAAATAGGCCAATAACGACATCATTTTTATTCTCTGTAGCAAAACTGTTATGAAAGGTTTGTCTACCTGTTTTTATCAGTTTTTCTTTTATGTGGTTTCTTCTAACTTTAATTTTAATATTTATTTGCAGTAAGGCATTTTGTGTCTCATAGGCCAGTAAGTTAAACTCTTAATACCAAGGCAGGTATATGGTAGACTGGGTGCAAGGTAATGAGGAGAGGGAAATATGTTGTACATTGAGAGCTCATCTTCCTTTCTTTTCTTTTTTTTTTTTTTTTTTTTTTTGAGATGGAGTCTCGCTCTGTCGCCCAGGCTGGAGTGCAGTGGTGCGATCTCGGCTCACTGCAAGCTCCGCCTCCTGGGTTGACGCCATTCTCCTGCCTCAGCCTCCTGAGTAGCTGGGACTACAGGCGCCCTCCACCACGCCCGGCTAATTTTTGTATTTTTAGTAGAGACGGGGTTTCACCGTGTTAGCCAGGATGGTCTCGATCCCTTGACCTCGTGATCCACCTGCCTCGGCCTCCCAAAGTGCTGGGATTACAGGCGTGAGCCACCGCACCCGGCCTCATCTTTCTTTTGAAGAAGGTATTTCTTTCTTCCAACCTCCCTCTCTCCCACCTTTTCTCTCTCTCTTTCTTTCTTTCATTGCACAAGTCAAAAACAAACAAAAAATCAGCCCACTGTTTAATCTGGTCTTCAAGCTCCATATTGCAACCCCTTTGTTAAATGCTAGAACATTGAAGTTATTCAATGAAGTACAGAAATACATATACATATGCATGAGACTCTGATACACTCTAGTGATTTCTGGTTCCTTGAGGGCATCAGAACTTGTTGGAAGCAATGTGCATTATGGTAAAGTTCTTGATGGAGCACTGATAAATGGGTTACTCAGTGCTAAGATGTATGTTACCATCACTAAATAGTCAAAATAGCCTTAATTTACAGTATCATGCTAATGCAAATTACTTTAAAAGAAACATCTGTTCTAAGAATAATTGATAGTAAGCAATATTTTTTGAGAACCAAATAAGAAATAATTATGTTAGTGTTTGATATGGTTATGTTATTTGGCGTTTCCATACAATAATTTCCAATACTGCTAGACTAAAGCAGAAGTGGCTAATAAATCTTTTTTTCTACCTTTTTGCTTGATATTCCATACAAGTAGATATTTATGTACTAGAAAGAGAGTTCAGGAGAATTGTAGAAATAAATTGAAAAGCTAATCCACAGAATTTCATGTGAAACAAATGATTATCATGCTCCAGAGGAAAAACCACAAACTACACACAAAACAGCAGCATGATTTGCAAAACTGTTTTACAGTATTTCCATGTATTAGAATTTATATTCTCAATCAATCCATCAAAGAAACATGACTAAATGCCCTCGGTATGTTAGACACTTTGCCAGGCAGACACCAGGTACCATAGGGGATTCAAAGATGTTCCTATCCTCAGGGAGTTGACAATCTGGCTAGATAAAAATTCAGAATAATAACCATTCTTCTAAGCCATTTTAAACAAAACTCGTGGTTTGAGGTTAAAAAAAAACTGCTTGACAGTTATGGCTTTTTAGAGTGTTCTATGGAATAAATTGGGTTTCTCTTTTTTGTGTTTAGTGAATTACCCATCACTTACAGATGAGCAGAATAAGCTAGTCTTCATTTTTCTGCCTCCAGAGGCTTTGTTTGTGGTTCTTTAAAACTTATTTAGGTCTGAGTTCCAGAATTTAAAAGGGATATTTAAGTATGAAAACAAGTCTGAGGTAAGTAATATGATTAGAGGTGATTAAAAGGAAAATGGGAGAGTATCACAAAAGGGTTACCAGATATTTTTTAAAAAAAGAGAGAGAAAAATGTAGAAAAGTATTTTAATAATTTTTTTACATTAAAAAGATTATCATGCTAAGAGTGGCAGGTATTTATTTTTCTTCATTACTGAGACTAACACTAGAGTAATAGGTGCTGTTTTAACATGAGAAAAATCAGAATACTTGTAAGGTGGACCCTCATACTAGCAAAGGTATCTAAGAGTACGTTTTATGACAAATATTTATAACTACTGTTCTTTGTTCTATTTGAAAATAGCCTTATTTCTAGTGATTAACAAAACAATATGTGCTTTCAAAAATAATCCAGGCAATACAGAAAACTATGAAGAATTGAAATTCACTTGAACTTCAACCTCCCACTGATACTGTTAACACATATTTTACATTGATGTTATCAGAATTTGTGCGTACATTCATGAGGGATCATCAAGCCAGGCTAGAAATGTATGTAGTTTCATATTTTGTAGCTATTTTTAAATGTGAGATTGATGTTTAGGGTATAGCTTACTTTAGGACCATGGAAAAGCAAGAACATCTTTTAAATGACCTGCTGGTATTCCCTTCATGCTTTATAATAAAGGTAAGAGATAAGCCTCTGTGCTATTTGGGAGAGGCACTGGGTTCAAGGTTTGACTCCACCATTTACTGACTGTATGACCTTCAGGAGGGCAATTCGGTTCTATCGCCTCATTGCCTTTTTCTGTCAACTGGGAAGACGTGACTCAAGCTCTAAAATTTTGTTATCTCAATGCTTTATTATAGTAAAAGAGTATACCTTCTCAGTAACATATATTTACAAAAAATTATCCTTTTTTATGTGTTATATGCCAAAAGTTTTAACTTTGATAATGAGTTAGTTTTCCCCTTATCAGCAAAAACAAGAAGAAGCAAGATTATTTTAAAAGTTGGAAGTTTATTACTCATTTATTCAGGTTAAAATATTCTGATACTCGAAGAAAAAGTGAAATTTGTTGTTGGATATAATACAATGTCCATATTCATTACATACGTTATTCCATTATGTTCCACATACCCCTATGACATGCCAGCTTATCTGTTTAGAGTACTTTTCTGTGTGTTCAATTATATATGTAAGGTTTTTAATGAAGAAAAATAAAATAAGGAATATTTAGAAATATAATTATATAGAGGTCAGGACTGTGAAAATTGCTTTTCTCACAATCACTATAACTTAGCTTTATCGCCTAAATTATATAGTAATAAAAATTGTTTTTATACTCCTAGAGTAACCAGTCTGTTCTTGGTAAGAGATTGCAATACATTTATCTAAATAGAAAATAGTTCTCTCTCCCAGTCACTTTTGAAACAGTATTTCCCTAGTATGTTTGAAGCCATGTGTGGAAGCATTTTAGATACTGTGAAATTAAAAAAAAACTGACAAAGTATTTTAGGAAAAACCCTTGATCCTATTTATTTATTGTAATAGCTGCTCTTCATTCAAACAAACATCAGTGAGTTATGGAAACGAATATAGAGCTGGAGTTAGGATACCCAAGTCTTAACCTGTTACAAAATGCGAGCACTTGGCAAGTTCTTTAACTCTCCTGAGCCTCAGTTTTCTCTTACGTGATGAGGATTGCTGCATAATATACATGAAAATGTCTTAGAAATGTAAACTTCAATTATTTTGTTTAGTATTTTATTTTTCACATACTATCTGAGCTCTTGTAAAAATAAAATTCTGAATGAAATACTGAACTAAGAATTCAGCCATTTAATGTTTACCTCTTCAGACTTCAACATCACTTAAACACATTGACTTCCTTTGTTGCTCCAGTTCATTAATGTACATGCTCTCATTAATTTTTCAAGAAATAAATAACATCTTTAGAAATCTATAACTTCATTTTCTTTTCACAATAGAAGATTAAAGAGAGACAGTTTTGTTGACAGATTACATCTTATATTCCACCAGCTAGAATCTAGCTGAATAATTTAAGTATATGAACTAGAAGAATATGTAACAATAATAAACTGACTTCCTTTTGATAGCTCTGAGTATGTGTTTGAATACACATAAAAACAAGCTGGATCCTTTAAAAGATGAAAGTAAAGTTCTGTTTATTAAATTTTGAAATATTTGCTAAACATAAATGGAATCCAGTTTTGAAAAAGGAAATATCAAAAAGATACCACAATGATCTATGCTGCAAACACACTTTCAGATAATCTATAGAATTTTGCTCTGTTCTTCATTAATGGATTTGCTATTGATCATCTGATTGCATTCCTTATTGATGTTTTCTAGGTATATTTTTATTGTGCTTTTAAATCTTTTTCATATAAACAAAATACATATTACTTAAAAACCTCTAGAAATAAAAATCTCTATTATTATGTCAATAACAGAGGATACCAAAAATGTAAGGGATAGCATTATTTGGTATTATGCTTATTCCTCTTTAATATTAACCAAATTTTAAATATGGCTTCTAAAAATTTTTACCATTTTTAGGGTCAGGAAACATTTAAAAAATAAAATATCTTCAAAACATTAGATGTATGGATTACTGTTTGGAACATCCAAATGCCCTTTCAGATTAGTGTGATATGATTTGTCTTGCAGCTGCTTCAAATTAAGAACAGGTGTAGAAAACAGATTATGCAAATACTCATATTAATGTAATTGTCAAATTGGTGTGTTTACCATTGTGCTTTTAAAGAGTAGACTGTACTTCTATTTTAAATGTAAATTAGCTTTATTCTTCAGAGCAGCTATTGGCTAATGAAACTTGGTTCTGCCTTAGAAATGAGTAATTTCTAATAGTAACACAGTTCTAAAATTTGACATTTTCTTTCCCAGTAAACTTATTTATATGTAAAAATGACAATTCTGTATTATTTTTAGTATGTGTATAATCATTATGATTTTTTGAAAATTTAAGTTGATTCTGGACTACTATTTTCTTTTATTGTGGTAGGTAGTGATTACAATGATAGCTTTTGATCTCCTAACATATTTTCTAATTTAGAACTCATATTAGCTTTTCATCTTTATAGATCTAAACTGTCAATAAATTAAGTTCTTTCCAGAAATTGCATTACATTTATTTTAATACTAATTTTTTTTCATAGCATCTAGTTACTTTCAATAGTATTTTAATGTTAAAAATGCTTAAATTCTAATTTTGGTGTTTTGCGTTTTACTACTAGTTCATCCACGTATCTGTATGATGATTTTGTGATTGCCTAATGTCAGGATTCAGACACGTGTATCTAAAAAAGGGCTTCCTCTTAGTCCCTGGCTAGTCTTCTAGGCTCTTTAATGACAAGTAGTATGAGTCATCATATCTACATGCGTGACTAGGGCCAGCGAAAAAGAAGACCAAGGAATCAACCAGAGAGGTTTCACAAGTCAGATGTTCCCATTACTTTTTTAATACTTTTTTCTCTAATAAAACAGAGATCCTGAAGCATTTATAATTTTAATTTGCTTTGGTAGCATATATTTAGTGCTTACTTTGTGTACCTGGTAATGTATTTATTTATGCTCTTTCATTTCACAGAATAGGCACCTGAGGCTTAGAAAGGTTAAATTACATTATCTACAGTCAAGTAGCTGGTAGTTTGAGCTGGAAGTGAATTCAAGTCAGTCTGATTCGAAACCATGTGCCTTTTACTCCTTTGTTACAGATAATATAGTGCCTCTTAGTTGCTGTTCAGGTTTTTCATTTTCATTTTTAGAAAATGAGATCAAAGTAATGACAAGGGGATGACAAGGTATTACATGTGAATATTATCTTTTCTTGAATGTCTTCATTTTATGAAACCCAGGTATATTGTTTTGTGGTTAAGATAGAGCAAAGGGGCTGGGCACAGTGGCTCATGCCTGTAATCTCAGCACTTTGGGAGACTGAGGCGGGCAGATCACCTGAGGTCAGGAGTTCGAGACCAGCCTGACCAACATGGTGAAACCCCGTCTCTACTAAAAATACAAAAATTAGCCAGGTGTGGTGTTACATGCCTGTCATCCCAGCTACACGGGAGGCTGAGGCAGGAGAGTCACTTGAACCCAGGAGGTGGAGGTTACAGTGAGCCAAGAATACACCACTGCACTCCAGCCTGGGCAACAGAGCAAGACTGTCTCAAAAACAAACAAACAAAAAAACAAACAAAAAGATAGAGAAAAGGAAGGGATGAAAGTTACATGGCTCCACCATGGAGGGGATCTCCATCATCACTACGAATAGAAGATTCTACAGGAATGACTCTGAATCTCTTTATTCCCTTGTCTTCTATACCTCCCTCATCTCTACCTGTCAGGAACCACTGCTGACATGGCAGTGGACTTGGTAATGAAATTAGATGTTTACTCAGCAATATATGAGATAACTTTTAATATGAAAGAAAAAGCAAATGGCAGTGATGGACTACTACTACTGGAGTTTTCTTGGCATCATGAGAATTTTCATGTCAAATGGTAAGAAGTTTTTTGCTGGAGTTTTAGTTTTTAAATCACTAGTCCTCTTCCTCCAGGTTTCTTCCCCCTACATCACATCAAAATGAGGAGGGGTAAGAGGCTTATAGGGACCAAATCATAATCAGAGATGCCAACAAGATAAGCTTCTGTATATGCTACATGCAGTCTCTATTCCTCATTTATCCTTATTGGCAAGAAAAGGAGCTGCCACTGAGACCAACACCAGATAAGCAGAAGCTGATCCAAGGGCTGCTGCTGCTTCCCCTGCAGGGATCAGAAAAGGAACTACCACATCCTCCAGTCCCTGCATACATTCCTAGGGGTGATCATAATCTGAATTGCTCCCCCCTAAGGAGTAAAGCATACAGTAAAAGAGATGCTGGTACTTTGTGAATTTGGAAAAAAATTATAATATGATAGTGTTTTTCTTTACATATAATAGATATTGCAGTGAATCTTCATGCTTCATTCATTGAATCAAGTTCTAATCCAAAAATACATTCCAATGGAAAAGACCACCAAAAAGTAATTAAAGGGTTTGCCTCATCCACAAACTCTGAGGACATCCATGGTCAGTTCTTCTATGAAAGCATAATACCCTATATAAGCACAGCATTTATTGATGCTGATAAGCTTTCTGATTAAGTTCACAACAAATGCACTTCAGAATTATTTTGAATAGTTTTTTCTAGTTTATTGCTTAAAAGTATATCTCTATAAGAATATCAGATACAGTGAGATTTCTATTAAGAAAAAATTAGTAACTTTAAAGATCTTTTGTATTGTTTTTTGAAAAAACTGTAAAACAAGCTAAATGCTATATAATACATCTACTCTGTTACTATGCTGTTTTATTCTGCCTACTATATTATTTTCCTTTTTTTAGTAATTTTATTTTTCATTTCTTGAAATTAATATGTAAAATACAGTTTTTACATTAAGCAAGAAAGACTTTTGCTTGAAAATTAATAAATCTCTACATTAAATTCTTGGGCTCAAACCCTGTTTTCATACATTGTTGGACAATGAGTCAAGGTGGAAAATCTAAGGTTGTTCTGTGCTCAGTGTCTTGATTTGAAATATTCAGAATATAGACTTACTCAGAGATTGGAAGCTGGTTTAATATGTTGTGCCAGCCATCCTGAAAGCCATTTCAGTAGATTCTGTACCCTGGCATTTGTTTTAGAAATAATTGCATGCAAATGTAGTTTTACATCTGTACTATGTCTCTTAATCCTAACCAGGCATTTTCCATTAGATGTAGTCTGAAAATCGCATTAAGACAAATATATATCATCTGTGAAATTATGCTCTGAATGCTCTAAATAGGAAAGAAAGGGGCAATATTCATGTTAAATATAATAAGAAGTATTTTTTTCTGACTCCCAAATTTTAAAATGTCGATTTCACTTCCTAATTAGTGCTGCATTATAAAATTGAGTTAAGATTGTTTTCAAAATTTTCTTATTCAGTTTATCACAAAACTTTCCTACAAATGAAAATGTACTACCATGTCAAATTATTTTCTTACTTTATGCTTGGTACTACAAAATTTATTTTTGTATCTCTAATGGCAATGCAATTCAGATAAGTTATATTGTAGTACTCTTCTGTTCTCAAAAGCAGAATTTTGCAACAAGAATTTTGACACTGAACTGACTTTATTTATTTATTTATTTATTTATTTATTTATTTATTTAGAGATGGAGTCCTGCTCTGTCGCCCAGGCTGGTGTGCAGTGGCCCGATCTCAGCTCACTGTAACCTCTGCCTCCCGGGTTCAAGCAGTTCTCTGTGTCAGCCTCCCAAGTAGCTGGGATTACAGGTGCCCACCACCACACCTGGCTAATTTTTGTATTTTTAGTAGAGATGGGGTTTCACCATCTTGGCCAGGCTGGTCTTGAACTCCTGACCTCGTGATCCACCCACCTTGGCCTCCCAAAGTGCTGGGATTACAGGCGTGAGGCACTGCACCCAGCCCTGACTTTTAATATACTAGAGATTACTAGTGTATTTGAGGAATCTAAGAAAGAATATTAAGTAATAAAACACGTATGAAGTCATGGGGTATCAACTGGAAGAAAGAGGAGGTAGAGTTTATAGAAACAAAAAGTTATTGCTTGCCATCAAGAAATTACCATTAAATCTTTATTTAAAACAGTATCTTGTCTCATTCTGCATTCTTCATAGTTACTTCTTGAGGATAACACTAATAGGACTCCAGATATGTCAGAAATCTTTTTATGTATTTGAACTTTCATTTATCCTCCAAGAGAAAAGACAGGTGGTGTACACAAAAATGAGAAATCTGAAGTTCACAAAAGCCACTTTGCTTTATATGGGGCTCTTGAAGAGCTGGTTTTTGCTTCTCTTTCTGTCCCCAACCCTACCCTACCACCCTTCTTCCCTAAAATTAATTTGTTTGACTTTATGGGACTGTCTCTGCTTCTCAGAATACATCAGGGGGTCAGACACCTTCAAGCCTTTATGATGTCTACTTCTTTAGTCTTAAATGTTCTTCATCTTTACCCCACCCCGTCTCCATTTGTATACTAATGTCCATTTATTCTTACCTAGAGTCCTTTATTATCTCATCTGCCCTGTAAGAACCCTTTCTCTATGCTTCCTTTTCACCAGTGCATACGTCTGTCATAGTATAATACTTAATATGAAACTCATCACTAATAGTTTGCCTTCCTGATTCGTCTGTGCATTCTTGAGGTTAGTGGCTCCTACTTGACTTTGCAGCTGATTCTTAACCTAGTGGTTGGTGTTCTGTAGTGTCCCACAGAACTGAGATGGCAATGTATACATTAAATCTGTTTGTTTTGTCTATTAAATAATTATTATATATGTTAAATTTTTTTCTTTCACTCTCCAAATGTTCATAAGAAATCCAGCTACCTATTTTTTTTCAAAAACGCTTAAACTCTTGAATAAAGCAAACATGCATACAAGTAAACAAAAATGCAGTAGTCCATAAGTACTCTGCAGGGATATCTCATGTCAGAAGCACCTGTTGACTGCTGCCCTCATGCTCTCTCAAAATATAATAACTATATCACTTACAGGAGCACTATGCACATCTTTTGTTTTTCAGTGATTTTAGACACATGAAAGATACTTGATTAGCATTCCTGCAAATTCAAGTTGTATATGTACACAGTGAACAGGTGTAGATCTTAGCCTGCTCACAGACAACAGCCATGTCATCTGCCCTTTCCTTGATTTCAGCCTTACCTATCTGTGGAGACAGCCTGGATTCTGGATAAGAGGTGTCCATATCCTCTTTCTGTTATTGGCTTCTCTACTGCGATTTCTAACAAGGGTGCCAATTAGTGCCAGCTATGATAGCAGCTTTTTGAAGTGAAAAAGAAGGGGATTGACTAAAAACAGGGTGAAAAATCTGAACTTGACACTGTTATATTCTGTAACTCTTGTTAATTCCTTTTTAATCTTAAACTATCTTATTTTGGCTGGGCGCGGTGGCTCACGCCTGTAATCCCAGCACTTTGGGAGGCCAAGGCGGGCAGATCACGAGGTCAGGAGATCGAGACCATACTGGCTAACACGGTGAAACCCCGTCTCTACTAAAAAAAACACCACAAAAAAATTAGCCAGGCGTGGTGGCCGGCGCCTGTAGTCCCAGCTACTCAGGAGGCTGAGTCAGGAGAATGGCGTGAACCTGGCAGGCAGAGCTTGCAGTGAGCCAATATCGTGCCACTGCACTCCAGCCTGGGCGACAGAGCAAGATTCCATCTTAAAAAAAAAAAAAAATCTCATTTTAAAATTAATTTAAAATCTTACTTTAGGAACGTCAATGGATTTAATAGGTTAATATGAAGTACTTTAAAATCTCAAATCCTTCAAATACCTATGGTATCTGCATTGGGACAGTGGCTGCCACTAAACTTTCTTTGTTAAGCTAGCCTTTCTTTTAATAAAAAGAAAAGTGTTATTTTAAATTTAGAATCCATTAAAGAAGAAAAGTGGAATGAGTATATAGTGTTAAATTATGATAAAAATAAAATATGCAAACACCCATTAATAAACTGTGCTGTGTTGCTATCTTGTATTTAACCCCAAGTTTTATTTTGCCGTTTTTACATATTAAGTTGTGCTTTGTACAATGTAAAGTCTGATTATACAAGCTGATATTTTAGGGATGGAAGAATATATTTATAAAAGTGAAATTATGGCCAGGTGCAGTGTCTCACACCTGTAATCCCAGCACTTTGGGATGCAGAGGCGGGTGGATCCCCTGAGGCCAGGAGTTTGAGACCAGCCTGGCCAACATAGGGAAACCTAAAAATGTTAAAAATACTAAAAATACTAAAAAATTAGCCAGGCATGGTGGCACACACCTATAATCTCAACTACTTGGGAGGCAGAGGCACAAGAATTGCTTGAGCTCAGGAGGCAGCAGTTGCAGTGAGTTGAGATTGTGCCACTGCACACCAGCCTGGGTGACAGAGCAAGACCCTGTTCCCCCGCCTCCGCCAAAAAAAAGAACTGAAATTATAATAGCAATTTTTAATTACTTCACTTAAGTTTGCAAACAATGAAAAATGAGGGCAAGATCATGACTTTTAGTCTTATCTTTGGTCTGTTCCATATAAATGGATTGTAACCCAAAATTCGTCCAAAAAGCTATTAACATTTAATCCTAATTTTGACAGTATGATTATTGACTGAAATATGTATATTAAATTTATCTTGTTAATTTTAACTTTGATTTCAAGTCACAGAGATCTTTAAAAAATAATAGTAGACTTTATTCAAAGGATATAGAGTTGCTTACAAAATACAAGGCAAAGCTAAGCAAAAATCTGGTCTCAGAAGGAGCAAAAAGCAGAGCAGAATCTAATAGGCTGCTTGCATACCTGTCACTGGATTCGATGAAATCCTGTTGTTTATTATGCACATGTCACATACCTCAAAAATCAAGTTCTTGGGAGAGGGAATTTAATTGGCCTAACTTGTATCACCCGCCCTTGGGCCGGTCCCACCAATTTGCATGTAATTGGGTACAGAATTAAGGTAGTCCCCAAAGAAAAAAATGGTGCTATTAACAAATAGAGAAGTATATGCTGGGTAGGCAATATCAACAGATTTCGTCTATGTTAACTTTGAGTTGGTTTGCTACTAGACTGCAGCCTTGTTTTAATATCAATTTTTTTTTCTCGAAGAATTTTACTCTTTCAACACCAAGGAAACTCAAGACAATAGAAAACTACTGGACAATAGCACCAAGTAATGTATTTGTGTGTGAAGACTCACTAATTTATGCAATTATACCTCAATCTATGCAGTATCTTCCTAAAGATTATTAAAAAATCAAATGTATTTTAAAGAAGTTTGCCTTTTATTTAAATAAATACTGTCTAAACTACTCTTTTAATTTGAATAATTTCTTCTCTTAAGGAAATAGTAATCTCTTATTTAATTTTGTAAATTTGGATCTTCATGTTGAGTTTGTTAGCAATGAATGGCACCTGTCACGCGTGTACTTAACAGGTAAAAGAAAATATACTGCTTTTAAAACTTTACACTAATCCATGAAGAAAACAAACATAAAAATTATAAACATTCATGAATCGATTCCTTTAAAAATGTTCTCCATGACCTTGGACCTATCTTTTTTGTTGTTTTTGGTGTTGGGTTTTGTTTGTTTGTTTTTTGAGACATGGTCTTTCTCTATAGCCCATGCTGGAGTGCAGTAGCATGATCATAGTTTACAACAGCTTCTAACTCCTGGGCTCAAGTCATTCTCCTACCTCAGCTTCCCAGAGTGCTGGGATTACAGACATGGGCCACCATGTCTAACTTGGACCGGTTCTTTAAAATCACTTTGAATTGGTGGACCTAAGGAATTCCCATTCTGCGCACTATGTTCTCTTGCACCATACTCTCTTGTTATTCCCACATATAGCCCACCACCACCTCCACCCACCTGGACTTCTTCCTGATCATGTTGTATCCCATGATTAAGGATGACCTTAAACACTTTCACTATTCTGAATCATCCTTTCTGACCCTGCTGCAGCATTTGTTCTTCCATTTCCCAAGCTGTGGCTTTTCTTATTCCTACTCCTAAGCAAGCTACTGAGTATTCCTATAGAGAATCACAATATCAGGCAGTATTGGTTCTCTGACTTTAGGCTAGTGTTCACTGATGTTTAGCAATTGTTTCACAAGTCTCTAGACACCTTACTCTGCCTCTCTCCCTGCATCAGTTTCTAGCCTTCACTGTACCCTTAAAGCACTTAAGTCACACCTGTTTCCCTGTTGTCAGTGACTTCACCTTCTACTTCAGAGAAAAAATTTAGAGGCCACCAGGCAAGAACTCCCTCTGCCTCTCTCATCTCTACTCCCAAAACAAACTTATATTAGCATCTCTGATTATATCCCTTTGTATCATAATGAGATTTCTCTCCAAGGCCAATTTCTCTTCCTGTGCATGATACCTACCCCTTTCCACCTCTTCCAGAACCTTGTCTTGTCAGCTGCACGTCTTCATTCCTATGTCTTCAGTCTCCCATTTCTCTGTGTGCCTTCCCTTCCCACCTTTAAAAACAAAAACCAATTAAACAAAATCACATTCATATGTCCATATTAGTTTTATATCAGACAATTATCTTAACCCTGTTTTTTTTTTCTTCATCATTAGGCCATTAGAAAGAATTGTTTACACTTATCTTCCATTCCTTTTTTGACACATTATACCTTGTTTTCTTTCCTTACTACCTGTATTACTCTGTCCTCACGCTGCTAGTAAAGACATACCTGAGACTGGGTAACTTACAAAGCAAAAGAGATTTAATGGACTCACAGTTCCACATGGCTGGGGAGGCCTCACAATCATGGTGGAAGGAAGAGGAGGAGTAAAGGCACATCTTACATAGCAGCAGGGAAGAGAGCATGTGCAGGGACACTCCCTTTTATAAAACCATCAGATCTCTTGAGACTTATTCACTGTCATGAGAACAGTATGGGAAATACCTGCCCCCATGATTCAGTTACCTCCCACCAGGTCCCTCCCATGACACATGGGGATTAAGGGAACTACAATTCAAGATGAGATTTGGGTAGGGACATAGCCAAACCACATCACTACCTTTCTGAAATAGTTCTATTGAATATGACTGACCACTTCAGAGAGTTGAATTCAATTCTTACCTTAGTAGATCCTGTCAAAACATTTGAGACTTTTGATACAACTTCTCTTAACATTCCTCTTCTTTGTGTTTTGTTGTCTTTTCCCCATCTCCTGCCTACAACTTTTTTTGTTAACTTTTATATCAGTGGTCCAAAAACTCTGGCTGCATATTGTCATTACTTGGGATGTTTATTTGTTAAAATGCCTGGTCTCCACCAAGCCCAGTTAAATCAGGAAGTTGAATGCCACCATCATTATATATACAGAGCTCTGCGTGTGATGCTGACCCACAAGGTGGGCTGAGAACTACTCCTTTAGATGACCTCACTGCCAGAACTTATCCACTCCCTGTGGTATTACCACTACATAAGTTGCTGATTCTCAGGGCTTTATATTTCTTGTCTTGTCACCTGAACTTAAGTCTTGTATAGCCAGAAGTCTTCCAGAAACACCTACCTAGATGTTCAGTAGTCAACTTCTCATTTACTATTTCCAAATGAACCAAATTCTCTTTCATTCTTGAAAAATCGTCTTTGTTTCTACTGTCTTTCTAGTGGCATCACAGTCTGCTTCCAACGTCCCTTATCCTTTACTCTCTCACTCAGGTAATCGTCAAATCCTTAGAAGTTAGCTGGTCCTCAAATTGGGTATCCTTTTTTCATGTAACTGCTACTGCTTTGGCACTTACCAGAAGTAACTGTCTAATGAATCTTTGGGAATCTTAGGCTGCCAGCCAATTCCAGTCTGAACCCACACCCTCATGCTTTCTACTTGTCAAAAAACAAACATACAAACAAACAAACAAAAAACACTACTAATTCCTGATCTGCAAAACTCTTCGTAGTCCTAATCTTTCTAGCCTTGTCTCTCAGCAGCTGGCCCCATTTATAGCATACTCCTACCAAAACTATCACATATTGTCGGCATAATCCTAAACCTTTTGCATTCTCCCTTTCTGTTTTTTTTTACTTCTTTTTCCCAAGCAATGAATTCCTACTCATTTCTTGGGAGCCAGCTAGAAAATGCCTTCTTTCAATATGGTCAAACTGTACTTTTTACGTCTTCAGCAATGCATTTCTCTCTAATATGGGGGCTTTAAAACTTAGGATCCATGGATAGAATTCAGGAGGTTTATGAACTTTAATGGAAGAAAAAGTATTCTTATTTTTATTCCCAATTGAAACTCAACATATTCATAGGAATGTAGGCAACACACCACAGTATTGTTAACAGTATCTGTGACATTGTCAGTGATAGAAATTATAAAAATATTCCTATCTCATCACAGTTGATAAAAAATATCTAGAAATATGACCAGGTGTAGTGGCTCATACCTATAATCTCAGCACTTTGGGAGGCCGAGGTGGGAGGATCACTTGAGCCCAGGAGTTCAAGACCAGCCTGGAGTATATAGTGAGACCCTGTCTCTACAAAAATCAAAGAAAATTAGGTGAGCATGGTGGTATGCACTTGTAGTCCCAGCTACTCAGGAGACTGAGGTGAGAGGATTACTTGATCCTAAGTGGTGGATGCTGCAGTGAGCCAAGATTGCTCCACTGCACTCCAGCCTTGGCAACAGAGCAAGGCCCTGTCAAAAAAAAAAAAAAAAAATCTAGAAATGTTATTTGTGCCCATTACTCAAAATTGTGGTGGTTGTTATATCTTATTAATTCATTAAATATACTATTATATCTTATTTAATTCATTAATAAATAGCATTAATATTTCACAAATGTAGCTTTTTAAATATTTTGAGAACTGAATCTCAATATAATTCTCTTTTTTCTAATGCCTTATTTTATTGTATGCAACCAATTTTTTTTTTTTCTGAGAAGGCTATTCTAGATTTTATCAGATTGCCAAAGAGGTTCAGATACAAAAAAGAAAAACAAAAAAAAAATCAGGAGTCCATGCAAATGGCACTTATGTTGTTGTATCCTAATTTACAAGACTTTTTTTATTTTCCAATCTCCTTTGGATGGAGGGACCATTTTCATTCACCTTTTTATATCCACATGGCTAATATAGTTTATAGCTCATAGTAGGTACTGAAAAGTGTTGACTAAGTGAATAATGGACTAAAAGAAGGAAAAAATACCTGTCATGCAAATATCCTGAACAGAGGGCAATATTTCTCAAAGTATGATCATAGACCTTCTAAACCACAATAATCAAGATGCTTGTTAAAATGCATATCCCTGGACGCTATACCAGATCTTATGAATCTGAATCTCTAGGAAAGTAGCCTGGAATACACAATCATAACAAGCTTCTCCAAAGATTATTTTACATGCTTAAGTTTGGGAACCTGTATAGTCAGATATGTGATACACAGTAGCCTCAAAATAAGTAAATAAAAGCATAACTTTTTACAAATAATTTTATCTCCCTGGACTTCCTTTCCTTCCTCAGTCCACACCACCATCTTCTCAATGTTGTACAGGTCTTGGAGTCTGTGTCACAAAAGAAAGTAAGACAAGGCTAACTATATCAGAATAAAGAATGAAAATTTTTTAGGCATGCACTTACTTAGATTTGGTCCTCTGAGATACGTAATCTCTGGTTCTTGTTGACTGACTCCAAACAAGAGAACAACTTCTGTGATCCACTTGTCTTGTGGAATACTCAAGACAGTTTTCAAGTATGATTTCTCTTTTCTTCATCTTCTCTGTCTGACCTAGGCAATTTAAAATTTGTTTTTCAGAAATGGACTGGAGAAGGATGAAGTTGTATGAATTTGCAAAGCTAAAATGTGTTATCCTGGCACAACCCAATAGCTACATTGTCCCTGGGACAGTTTCCATCAGATATGATGGATGTCCTAAAAACAAGCCATCAAATCAGCAAACACAACAAAACAGTTGGAGGGGCAGAAAGGCAAATCAACCATTTGTTTTTGTTATTGTTTTAAAGTTTGATTTGTTTTATAACGTGAAGAATGTTCATACTTCTTGACTAGCTGAACATTGATGTTTTCATTTTTTCACTTTTAAAATGTAGACCACTCCTATAGCTTGGATATTTTTCCTCCAAATCTCATGTTGAAATTTGACCCCCAGTGTTGGAGGTGGGGCCTCACGGGAGGTGTTTGGGTCATGAGAGTGGATTCCTCATGAATGTCTTGGTGCCATCCTTGTGATGGTGAGTGATCTCTCACTCTACTAGTTCCCACAGAGCTGGTTGTAAAAAAGAGTCTGGCACCTCCTTCACTCTTGTTTCCTCTCTCACCACGTGATTTCTACACACGTGTTTCCCCTTCCCCTTCTGCTATGAGTGGAAGCCACTTGAGGCCCTCACCAGATGCAGATGCCAGCACCATGCTTCTTGTACAGCGTGCAAAACTATGAGCCAAATAAACCTCTTTTCCTTATAAATTACTCAGCCTCATGTATTCCTTTACAGCAACATAAATGTACTAAGACAACCACTATTCCATTCAGATATTATTTTATCCTAAATATTATAAGACACTAAAGTTTTAAACATGTTAAAGAAAAATTTGAGGATCCTTTCAACCAACCTCAAGAAACAAGTTATATTAAATAATTTAAAATATTTTCATTTGTTAGGAAAGATCAATATATAATATTAATACCATGTATATATTATATATTTTTGTATGAAAATTACACTTCATCAACCTTGCAAAAAATATTATTTTTCTTACAAGTCATTTCACCTTATCACTAAATATGAACACACCTATATTAACGTCTTGCTTTGCTGCACCAGGTTTCTAAAAGGAAAAAAATATTTCTTTACTCATATAGGAGAGTCTTTAGTATGTATCATGAAGTCTACTGATAAGTTGAAGACAGATACAATGTCTTGGGAATTTTTGTAACCTTTATAATATGTAATAGCATTTTATACATAGTAGAAACAATAATTCTTTTTATCTGAAAATTGAGTACTATTTTGAAGCAATAATGACAGCTAACAAATAAGTATATAGCTAATAAATGTTAAGTATATGGGTATCAGCACTGTTCTAATTACTTTACAATTGAACATATTTAATAACCATATGATGATGTTACTTATTATCCTCTGTCTAGAGAGAGAGGACAGGAGAAGCTAAGTATTTTGCTCAAGGTCACACCACTATTAAGTGTAAGATCTGAAGCTCAGCATACTATCTCCAGAGCCAGCATTCTTATGTTCAGCACTAAATGACTTACTCTTTATTGTTTTAAAAGAAAAATTACAATGATTCACATTTAATTGAAGAATAGATTCCTTCTGAAGTTAATGTTGAAAGTCCATTCCAGTACATTGTGTGGCCTTTTCACTCTTAAAAGATTCTTTGGTGCTTATTAGAAACAGATGCAAACACTTAAAATATCCATTCACATTGTGTTTCCTTGTGATTTGCTGGAGTTATGTCAGGTTGCCTCCCGGAGATCCATTTCTAAATGACTGTCTGATTTTATTCATCTTGCTACTTCTTTACAAACCTGCGGCTTCATGGTTCTGTTAAAGCATGGTTGATCAGAGTTTTATTGCATCTCTTACCAACATTCTGTCTCTGCCTGTCATAGAAAGCTTTAGGGAAGCCATGAGAAGAAACTGGGTGGGGTTTTCAAAGCACAATTTCTTCAACCAAACCTGTTGGCAAGATATGATGATGGGCTAATGATAGTGCAAAGTTTATTCTCACATACTTTCAGTTGCAGAAACTATTGAGAGTTACTTAAAAGCATTTGCCTTTCAATAGATTATTTTACTTCTAAGTTATTGTTCTTCAGTAAAGTTTAGATTAATTTGACTTTCTCTTTTCACAAATTTTGCCTTTTAACTCTTTATTTTTATTGATTGTTTAACTGTTATGTTTCATAATTTTGCATGCAGAGTGACAGGGACAGAGAAATGTCACTATGAGCCCTCAGTGTCGGTGGCAGTTCTGTGTCTCTTGTTCCTATGGATAGATTAATGACAGTATCATTTTAATATGCTTTATTTCTCTCTATGTTAGCAGGAATAATTTGATAGGAGTGTTTTGGTTAGTCAGTGTTTCTGGTTGATAAAAATAAGATATATCATAGATTTTAGGGAATCGAAAAATAATGAGTATATACTGTGTACCAATCCAAATATATCATTGTGGATGAATGAAAAGGTTCTTCATGGTCTTGTGGGTTTTTTTTTGGGGGGGGGTTATTTTGTTTTGTTTTTGTTTGTTTGTTTTTTGTCAAGGTTATCGTTTCGTTAAAATTTGGGAAATATTTGAGATAGTAACTAAAGAAGATATGTTTGAAATATGGTTAGGTTTATGAAATTATGTTTCTGAGTCAGTTGAGCTAAAAATGGGGAACATTCTCACGGTGAAGCCTCAGGCAGCTTCCATCCCAAAGCTACAAAACTAGACGAATTCTAATGAAAACCTCTTTTTTAATGAAATCCTTCTAATATTTTGGCACCTGTATCCCTTAAATTACCATTTAAGGGATGTTTATGTTTAAGGGATCAGTAGCATTAACTGTATGCTTTTATTCCATAGTATTTTTATTTATTTTTATTACTGTACTTGTACATTATCTCAATATTTCCTGTTTATGTACTCCTCCAGGAGTGAGACTTATTCTTGTATCACCTTCTGACCTGACTGGGATGACAAAACTCCAGGATCCCAACATGTTTTGTTAATGCTGGAGACACAAATTATGATATTTTATTTAACATAGGTGCTTGTGAAATAATTTAAGGTGGTGTTGCTTATTTATAGAGTTTAATTTTCAGTATTAAATATAAACAGTGTCACGGCAGATTTGGAGTTATTGTGACAATCACTTATTTTTTATGTAAATGAGCGTCTATCTGTGGGCTTTATTAGTGTTAGTATGGTTTATTGTTATGGTATGGAATAGCATTTCATTTTTTAAGGATGCTTATGACCTTGTTAAATAGCAGTCCAAAAATCGTGTGGCTTGTTTTGATTTTAACGAAAGTTACAGCTGCCTAGCTGTAAAGCAGTCAGTTTCTCTTATTATGACTAGTTCTTCAACTTGTACTGTTTTAAATTGCCTGCAATTAGCATATTTCAACCTTATTTTTAGGTTTAAATTGCAGTGTGAGAGTGTACTCTCCTCTTAGCTAATTAGTGCTATCAAGGAACAGTAGGTTACCTCATTAGTACCATGTGCATTTAATTAAAGAAGAGAAAATTGGAGTTAACCTCATAGTTAATATTTTCACAGAGTGCTACAATGCCAACACCTTCAATTGGAGTCACACCCCTGTGTATCTAATTATGCACTGGTGCCAAATAAGGTTAGCAAGAGTAGCACAAGGCTGTTGACAAAATAATTTAGATGAAAATGTATTTGTTGAATTCTGGCAGCAAAATACAACTTGAACAATTTCCCCCCAGTCTTCATCTGCTAGCATCAGGTGACATACTTCTTCCTAAGAAACAGAGGGAAAAGGATATTTTGGAAGCCATTTTTCCTGTTTGAATTAATGTTGCTCTTATCTTCAAGAAAATGGCATGTAGTCATGTAAAGCATATACAATCCATTTCTTAAACATAACCTCTGAACTTCATAGATGTATTTGAAAAGAATTATTTATAAGATGTAATATTTACATGCATCAAACCACTACAAATACTCCCTGACACCCTTAACACATCCCTCCTTGCTTTTCTTCTTTTCTGGTATAGTTATAATTTCCCTTGTGTATCTTATGAATGGGGATCATCCTTTCATATCATACATGAAGTCTAAGGATGTGTTGTCACATGGTCTATTCAAATGCAGTGTAATCCTTTTGCCCTTCAGACAAAATCTTTGAAATGTCTAATGCTACTTAGGTAAAAAATGACATTCCATGTCATTTATCAATAAATAATCACTTTGCTTTTACAGATAAAAATGCAAACTATACATTTGAGTATATAGAGTAGTTTTCAATGCAAATGGTACAATTCAACAGGTTTTAACAGATATTATGGAGGTTGGTTGCATAGTCTTAGATACATTTTAGTGGCAATAATTTTTATATAATAATGCATAACCACAGCAGTTTATTTAAATAAATTATTGTGATTGTTCTCACATGACATGGTAGGACAGGATTTATGTTCATTTGTACTGGTTACAATTGATTACAAGTCAGAGGTTTGCTTTTTCAAAATTATTGATGATTACATTTTAAGAACAAATAACATCCCATACACCAAAATTGCAGTGTCATTTAAATATATAGGAGTATTTATGATTCTTAGCTTACAAGTGGGAAGTAAGGTTCCTACAGCAGTATCATGGTACATAATCAGTGGATTTTTTGGTTATGGGTTAATTTATTATGGTCCAAATATTCAACTTCCCATCTGCCAAATTATTTCTATTTTTAAAATCTATACTGGTTAACTGTGAGACAATGATGGAATATTCTTCCCTATTTTGACCTACCAAGATAATAATTCCAAAAAATGATTTTTAAAAATGATAATGTACGTTATTAGCACAAGCCTTAAGATTGAAAAAAAAGCCAACTCCTGATTCTCTTTGTTTAACCTAGGAATTGCTTCCAGAAACAAAATTATGTATCTGTGGCCACTCTTCTGGTGATGGGCATCCTCACAACACATTTGCAGTAAGTTACACTGGGCAATTAGAAATTCAGCTACTAGGCACAAGGCCATGGACCCAGTCCCACTAAATAGATTATATGTGATTTTCTATAGCCAATCCCTTCCATTGGTGCAGATAATCAAGATACAAATAATGTTAAGATACAGATGTAATTAGTTGATTTTCTCTTGCTTCTTTTGTTCTCAATTCAGTTATGTTTCACTAGATATACATTTCACAGTTTCTGTGAGTTGACTACCTTAAATATATAAAGGCTTTAACACCACTATACTTTTCTTGAACTTTTAGGAATAATTTGATGAGGGAGTGTTGATATGCAGAAAATAAATGGGCATAGATAATGAGTTGATTCAACACATATTTTAGAACAAAATTGCTGTTCCATGTTCTTCAAGTTGTCATATAAATATACCAAGGCCTTTTAAACATTCTGCCACTAGAGTGTAACTTGTCACTTTGGACTGTAATATTTGGTGAAAATTGCTTATGTGGCCCAATTCACATAGCAGTTATCCTTGGAAATGGATAGTAATCCTCAAGTCTCCATTCAAGAATTTTTAAATAAAGCAACTTCATGTTTCTATTGAGCATAGATTCTACCTGCATTCTTAAGAAATCTTGAAACATATAAGTCATGTATTTTCACATATAGTCAGCGCTTCACAGTCATGGGTTCTGTATCTGTGGATTCAACCAACCACAGATCCAAAATAGTTGGGGAAAAAATGGATGGTTGCATCTGTACCGAAAATTTTCATACATTTTTCTTCCTTATCATTATTCCCCAAAGAAAACATTGTAACAACTGTTTATACAGCATTTATTTTACATTAAGTATTATAAGTGAGCTAGAGATTATTTAAAGTATACAGGAGGATGTGCATAGGTTATATGTAAATAGTACATCATTTTATATAAGGGACTTGGGCAATTATGGATTTTGGTATCTATGTGTGTCCAATCCCCTACACATACCGAAGGACTACTATACACAACTTTTGCTTGTTTCCTTAAGAACTGATGTATTTATTT
This sequence comes from Homo sapiens, assembly GCF_000001405.40. Taxonomy (NCBI): domain Eukaryota; kingdom Metazoa; phylum Chordata; class Mammalia; order Primates; family Hominidae; genus Homo; species Homo sapiens. The sequence goes on from NC_000007.14 coordinate 114,571,913, forward strand.
AGGCTCAATGGGCTAGAGTATTTCTAAATTGACTCAGCCAAAATTTATTTACTTTTTACTACTCTATACATAATATTTCCTAATTATAATTGGCGAACAACAACAAAATTAATACTCATATACAATCAATGTCTTCCTGAATGAAGAAGAAATATCTAATTTCATACTTTGGTTAAAAAGACAGAAAATGTTTTCAATAAAAATAGTGTCAAATTAATGAAAGGATATTTATGGAAAATATGAAACTTTTAAAAATGTTAGTTGCAATACAAAATAAACTCAAAAGTGGAAGCAGCAATAACATATCCTATTCTATAGAAATGGTAAATGTCAAAAAAAAAAGAAATAATGAATGTCAAGGATGGGTAATAAATGTTATATATGCTGGCTTCAGAGAGACCTGAAATTACCTGGTTTGTGGCCTCATTCACTTTAATCCTATAGTATTTGGTCCCCCTAAGCTTTTTTGTAACAACATTTGAAAGAAAAATAGCAAAAATTTAAAAATTTTGGTAAGTTTTGCTGATATGATGTAATTAAGTTTATGTGAAAGATTAAAATAATCTTAATTTCTAAGTATTCTCTGTATATTTTAAAGGAAGATAAATTTTAGGTAAACATCAAGTGCAATTATATTCTTTAACTTAATAAAGAAAATTAACTTAAAATTACTTTTAAAAATAGTGCATTAAAAATGGGACAGTTTTCCTAATTAGTAACACTTTTTCCTAAAATAATCCCAATGGAAAAATTGTTTTCGTTAAACTGAAGAGTGAGGTGGCTTAACTGCTAATAGTGTTTGCTCTTTATCTAAAACTACTTTTACCATTTAAAACAAATCTCTGTTCTACTGATGAGAGAAAAGAAATCTATAGCATCAAAAGTTTATATTTTCACTGACATATTTTCAGAATGAAAATGAGACATGAAGAAGTGAAATGATTCACCAGAGGCCATGTAATTTCTCAATGGTAAAGCTGAATTTGTTGCCCAAGTTTGTGATGACCAGTGTATTGGTCTTTCCAAAGGTATCCCAAATTGTTCTTGGCTGCTTTGAATGCAGTGTTAAGTAGAAGTCTGAGGTTCTTCCATGTGTCTGAGACTGCATCTCATCTCTCAGATAGAAAGAGCACCAGTATGAGTTAGTGAGGTCTGGTATGGCTGGTGGGAAAGGAGGAGCATAGCAGTGCATTTGCCATCAGATCTTTGCAATCTCTGTAGTGTGCCAATTTCATACTTCATCTTGGTCATTGAGTGACTTTACAAATGGGGCTTCTTGACTTCACAACACAAGGGAAATCTTATTTAAGTAATATTAACTGCTTATTTTCCTTTATTGATTACCTTATATATAAACTTCAGCATGCTAAAATGGCTACATAATGTGATTTAAAATCAATATACTAACCAGAAAAAATACTATATTATTCATAATTGACAATTGCTATGTGATGGACATGGTTCTGTTTTAGTATTCATTGCATTTATAAGTACCAATATGCCAGAGTGGTAGTCTGGAACACCGTAAGAGTACTGGTGGGCTAAAAGGAAGAAAGAGGTCAAAAAGATAGATGGGGTACCTAAAGCCTGCCATATGTTTTCATCACTATGTAACTAACATTTATAATAAATTGTGAATTATTACAATAGTTTTCAAATGTTAAGAGACCCTACATAATGCCTATCAAAGTGTTAATTTAATGTCACACATATTATTTCTGTGGTTGATCAGCCTTCACACACACACATACAAGCCAAAATTTTCAGGCACATGTTCCAAATTGGTGGATTAAATTAATTTTTACTCTTCCTATCACACCTAATTCACTTAAAAAATAAAAATCCCTTAATTTTATTAACAAGCCTAAAGTAAAGTGCCAAAAATTGCAGGGAGAGAAAACAACTTACATTACCAAATGAAGGTTAAAGCCCAAATTATCTCAAGGAAATAATATTACATATTTGATATTAAACAGGGGTCAAAAGCTCTTCATTATACCATCCTTTTTCAGATATAATTGTATCAATTTACTAGCAAAACGTGCAATAAAAATATTTTTTCATAGGGTTTTTTCTGGTGTCTTGGCTTATTGATAACCATCAAACATTGGCCATCCCCTGAGTATTGTACCTCTCTATTACATTGTTGAACAGTAGTGATATTTTAATGTACTCACTAATAAATTATATTTAATGTGCCTCTATCAATTCATTGCAATACTGGGCAGTAATTGTATGCACTTATCTTTATGTGAAAATTGTGATTCTAAATTTTATCTACTTGTTGTATTTGAAGAAATATTTGGGCTCCTTCGATTGTATATTCACTATTCTAAGAGTAACAATATAATGTCCTTATTATAACTTTGAATTTAATAGATAAAAAAGCATTAATTTCTGGCTTTAAAAAACGAGGGTATAAGAGGAAGAGAGCTTCATTGTTAGAGAATACTTTTCAATGCTTGCTTTTCACATTCAGTTTTTTCAAATAGTGTCTAGTTTAATCTGAAAAAAAAAATCTTCACTTATTTTACTTTTCTTTCAAACTTCGGTACTAGGATACATGCCTTTCTTTTTTTCCTGATTTATCAAACAGCTTTACAAATGAGTAACTCTGCCAAGATTCTAAATTTCACAATCTTTGGCTTCCTTACAAGATAGTAACCCAAGTTCATTCACTACTCTCTAACTATACCCTGTTGGCACCTCATCTGCCTGAATGACCTCATTAACACCTATCTGCAAGTAATCTTATTGTTAGTGTTGCCTACAGGTTTTTACACCTAAGTGAATACTGTTTTACATAGGATTCTGCCAGTTAGTTCTAACTGCGAAGGCAATTATGTGGAATGCTTAGGGTCTTTGTCTTTGGCTCTTATTTTTAAAACCTTTAGCATTGAGCCAGATGAATCTTTTGATGAACAAAATGTCTTGTACCTATAATCTGAAAATGAAACTTGCCTAGCCTTGGTATAACTGCTTTATTTTCCATTCAAATTAAATTACACTGGCCACATTTGATCTTTCTCCCTACAGGTCTTTACTATGTTTATCTCCTGAATGGTTCATTTTTAATGGGGATGCTGGGTTGGAAGAAATAAGAAAACAGGGATAGTGATGCTTTTTAAAATATCTTTTTATTTGTGTTCCAAATTCATCTCTCTCTTGAGGCTTTACATAAATCCTACACAACACCAAATAATCCACCCTGTGGGCTCTACAATCAGCTTTCTGGTTTGATAACTGGGCCAGTTTCTTAACTTTGCTTTGCTTCACGTTCTCAGTCTGTAAAATTATAACAATAATACTACCTACCTCATAAGGTGGTAACGGGAATTAAATATGATAACCCTAAAAAGTACTTACCATAATGACTAACACATAGTAAACATGCAATAGATGTTGAGTCAGTATCTGTAATAGCATCAATATACTCTTGCTTGGATGAAAGAGTCAATTCTGTTGGATGTAAATTTAAGTGTATTTTTGGTATTAACACTAAAAGGGGCATTGGACATTGTACCTTGGGTCACGGCCAAGACAGATGGCAGTGTTATCCACTGAGAGGAGTCTTTATATTAATCGATTTAAGTTGAATACTGACTTGTTCACTCACACAAAAAATAGTGTTCTCCAAATGCTTTCTGACTTGTTAAGTGGAAGACAGCTAAGTGGAAGAGACAGAACTCTGCCTCACCAGACCTAAATGATGCCTGGCAGCCAAGAAGAATCATAGCTAAAATACGTAAGGAAAAGTGATTGTCCCCCAATTGTCTGTATCCAGCTAAAGCACATGAAGATACAAAGTTAGGAAATACATGCAGCAATGTTGAATTGCCTCTACTTTTTTCTTCCTTCCTATATTATAAACATATTAGCAGAGAGTAACCTGAAGTTAAAGATAAATTACTACTTATCAGTGTTGACAGTTTTAACTAACATGCTGAAAACAATTAACCAAGGATAATGTTGCAGTAATTTTTTTCACAGTACCCTTTTTATAAAAGCTGTTTACAGTATTTTATAAAATACTGTATACATTTGTAAAAAGATGTGTGGTGTACACTTGAATTCATTGTTTTACTGTGTTTATTTTTGAGTAGGTTTTATTGATTATTATGATGGTATTCATACTATGGCCCTTCAGTAAGAAATAAACTTAAGATAATGAAATGTTTCAAACACTTATGTTATAGATTGTTTTGTTAATTCCATAAAGATATAATATAGTGACCATGTTTAGGGTTATTGTTAAAAACATTCCAGATGCTGTATCCATCTGAAACAGAATACAGGTTTTTGTTTTTAAAGCCTTGGCTGACATTTGTATGCAATTTCTTGATTAATCTTTTTTTCTACTGTAATTCAACATATTAGTAATTATCTTTACACGCCCCTCTCAGCTGGAATGTAAGCTCCCTGATCTCAGTTTGTTCTAGAAACTTCTCCTGAGTGGTTGCCCCTCACCTTCTATTTCATTGTAATATTTGAGATTCCCAAGAATATTCTTGATGTTGGTTCCAAGAAGGACCAGTAGCAGACATTTTTCAATGGAGGATCGTCTTTGAAATTTATAATGAATAATTTACTCCCCTTGATGATTCACCAAAGCATTAGTGTGGCAGAAATTGGGGGCTGATGAAAGGATTATTTATTTAGTCAGTGGTTTTGTTGTTGTTAATATATTTTTCATCAAATAAATTGATACACACACTAGAATATGTATGTGGCAATAATATTCATTTATGGTGCTTATTAGGACAGACTGTATTTTGCATTTTAAAGTTATTTGTAATGAGCTATTAGTGATAGTCTCTACAAATATGACATATAATTGGCATTAACTTCTAACCGTTTGCTCTATAGTTTTTGCGTATTTCTAAACATCGCTTAAGGAAATGTGTATTCTGTATTTACTATTTGTATTTCTGTTCCCTGTCTATTTCCACATCATCTTATTTAGCATAATTGAAAGTTGTAGAAAATGCTTTGTCATTTTAGTGTATAAATTTTCAGAATTGTGCTCATACACAAACAAACATACATCATACATACACATATCTAAGCAATTATATAAAAGAGTGTGCATGTGTCTTTATTCAATTCTATGTGCAGTTCATTTTTCTTTCTTATTGAAGTTACATGTTTTAGATTTGTAATTTTCATTAGGTGAGTGAATTGTTTGTTATGCATAGGATTAAAAAATTATGGAACCAAATGTTTATAACTGGCATAGTTTATGCAGTACTGTATTTACTTAAAAATATTTCTAAATAACAGGATTTTTAAAATATAAATTTCAATACATAGGATGTCAGGTTAAGCAGCACGGGACTTCCACTGACATTAAAACTTAAACCTGAAAAACAACAACAACAACAACAAAACTTAAACCTGAAGCTACATGCTGTACTTTAACAATGGCGTTCAGAAAGCCTACTATCACCGGAGTTTTGTTATGCTATAATAACTTTATGCATCAGACAATTTAGATGAAATTGCACTTATTTACTTTCAAATAATCCTACTGTTTATCATAACAATAAGTTTTATGCAAATAGATTCATACTGTTAATCAGATAAAGTCTTATACCAAGCTAGAGAATTCAAAATTGAACTTTTAAAATACTTAGCATAAAGAACAGTTTGTAATGCTCAGGCTCTCACAATCATGCTCCTTAGCTCCTTTCCATGAAGTCATGATTTCTTTCCCACCAGACTTCCTCCTGATCTCTCTTAAGAGAGAGATTGTGAGATATTTTACAATATTGGAAGAAACCATCTCCTCTTCAGATACAGAATTCTAGTTATAACGTTATACTTCAGACTACATATGTTATATATTTAATATTTTATGAGTAATGCTGTAATTTAGAATTTTATATGTAGAATATTTAGTCTGGCATACAACAGCCAGTATAGAATGAGAGTAAGAAACGTCATCATAAGAGATTATAATAAAGGGGAGGCATCAAGCAAACATCTCAGAGATAAATTCTCATTATATTAAGCATAATTCATAAATTCACAGAGAGTTGTGCAATTGTAGAGAGAAAGTGTTACCAAAATGATGTCCTCAGAATTGAATAAACAAGCTTAAAAGTTTAGGAATTCAATATTTCTAGTGTATCATATACATATACCTGAAGAACATTTTCTGGTGCATAGATCATTAATACAAAATTCAATTAATATGAATAACAAATGTACTGTTGTTTTATCTTTATTTCCTTCCCTATCCTTGTTGCCTGTAAGTTGTAGGTATAAGAGATTATATCTCTTAAACTCTTTTATATTGAGGCTGGAAAACATACTTTTTGCGTATCTACTCTTTTCTCCTTTTATATTACCTGAGTAGATACTGCTATTTTGGAAGGGTTGCGCCCTGTTACTACATTGCCAGATTGCCAAAATTCAAAGGAAGGGATGTCTGCTTAACATCTATTTTCATCCTATATGGACTGATAGTGTATTAGAGCTAAAAGGGGCCTTATAGTTCATCTAATTCAACTCCTTTATTTTACAATTGAAAAAAAGTGTTAAAGAATAAAAGTGACTTCCTTAATATCTCCCCATTATTAATTGAATTCAAGAGGGAGCTACTGATGATCTGACAGTTCTTTAGTCTTGACTCATGGTTCATATGTATTAATTTTGCCAGGCCATTTGTTTTAGTTTTAATTCTATGTGTCTGTCAAATAAGGAAATCACTCTGTTTTTCCAAATGTTGCTGATCACATTTACCTATGAAAAAGCTTTAAAAACCAGATGGATATCATGATTACTTTTAAAATTACCATTCATATTACTTGACTACATGTGGTTTGTTTAGGACACTTTTAAGGTCTCAATCATATCTATGACATTGTTTTATTTATAGGTCAAGGTTTTAGAAAAGGAAAATTTAAGGTTCCTCAGTGATTTCCTCAGAAATGTTTTAAAGTGAATTGTGAAATTCCAGACTGTAGATTTATTGCTTATGTTCTTTTATTAGGACTTCAGCTAGGAGAAAAAGGACACTTAAAAAACATATATAAGGCAATAGAAATTTAGTTTCTAATTGTTAAAAGAATAAGCCTAATGGTTACCAAGCCTTAATCCTTTACATTTTCTCTTTATTTAGACTATACATTCAAGAAGGATCAATTGCTTTATAGAAAGGACCAAAATCTGAGGGTTTCCCAGGCTTTTCCAGTTGTTTGTTTACTATGTGTCAGATAAATATGTATTAACAATTAAAAATAAGTGGTTAGTGGATCTGTTGTGCCATCCTGATCTTGAAATTCTAAGAAAAGGAGATAAGACAATACTTTTAAGTCTGATATTTAAATATTGGACACTCAATGTATAAAGCCCAGGTTAGATGCTTGGATTGATCAGATAAAGATACTAAGTTCATAACATAAAATTTTTATCCCATAAAATATATTCATAGCACTAGTGATAGAAATGGGTACAGAGGTTACAGAATTCTTTCGAGAAATTGTGATTCTAGATCAGTCCTAGATAAGTATCTGGGACCTATCAATTCTACTATTGTTAATTAGCACATACAGTTTTGTTGCTGTGACTGTCGCCCACCCCAAACTAGGCTCTTTTCTTTCCCTACCTTCTGCTTCTGTTCTCAGACATACCATATTCCATTTTTTTTTCTGTCCCCCCATAGCCTGTTTCCTTTTCTTCCCTGTGTATCAACTTCCACCGGTTATGCAAGCCCGAACTCAGTTACTGTTGCACATGAATGCTTTTTCACCAACACAGTTCACATGGATTAATTCCTTTTTTAATATTGTGTATCATACTTGTCTAACTCACACTTTTGGAATTATTCTTACATAGCTCCATTGATAATTCCATTCAACACATATTCACTGAGCATATACTATGGATAACTCATGTTGCTAAGCAGCATTTTCAGTAAAATGATGAGTTATCACCTATATTTGAGAAATTTAGATTATGAAAATGGGAAATACGTAATTTAGGATTCAAAAATCTATGCACTCTAAGGAGAGATTCAATCATTGTACTGAGGAATTAAAAACAAGTAGTTAGGAGAGGTTTATTTGAGGTAAAGTTTAAAAAAAATCTTATTGGCATATGTAGCCTCTTATTGTATAGGCTAATGCCAGAATTTGAAGTTTTAAGTGCCTTTTTAAAAGGACCTTAAATATTCTGTAAGATTTTGAGTAAGGAAGTGGATGTAACATAACTAGACCATCCTACTTAAGATATCCTTAGAGCAATAGAAAGCAGTCACTGGAATGACAAAAAATATTGGAGTCTATGTGTCCAATTAGAGTGTGTTATCAGAAAAACCAATCATCGTCATCTTAACTAGGGGAAGGATAGGAGAAGGAAATAAGACAGATTTAAGAAAGAAGGACGGGCACGGTGGCTCACGCCTGTAATCCCAGCACTTTGGGAGGCTGAGGCGGGTGGATCACCTGAGGTCAGGAGTTCGAGACCAGCCTGACCAACATGGTGAAACCCCATCTCTACTAAAAATACAAAAATTAGCTGGGTGTGATGGCATATTCCTGTAGTCCCAGCTACTTGAGAGGCTGAGACAGGAGAATTGTTTGAACCCGGGAGGCAGAGGTTGCAGTGAGCTGAGATCACACCACCACTGTGCTCCAGCCTGGGCAACAGAGTGCGACTCTGTCTCAAAACAAAAACAAAAACAAAACAAAACAGAAAACAAGAAAGAAAAGAAAGAATACAACGACTTGATTTTTAAAAGCATGTTGACAATTAGAAAAACAAGAAATTGAGATTTCTGTAATTTTATACCTGGTTATCTGTATTTGGCAGGTTGTGACCCTGGTGATACCTAAAACACAAAAATAGCAAGTTTGACCATAGGCAGTAGGAAGTTGAAAGTGACAATCGGTTTTGTTTGAGAAGTGGGATATCTGCGTGTTCAGTAGGCAGTTAGCACTGAGTTGGAGATGATGCATTTTTGGAAGTCATATAATATACAGGAGACTAGAGTCCCATAATTTTTAAGGAGATCCTGAAGAGTAAGATAGCACAGAGAAGTTGCAACACAAGACACTGGGTAAAGGAAGAATGAGCCAGCAAAGAATGTGAATCTATAGCAGTAGAGAACCAGGAGCCAGCAGTCAAAGGCCAATAGAAGATACACTCACATAAACACATGCACACACACACACACACACACACACACACACAAGCACACGGACAGATTGGATTTGTTGCTTCTATCTTCTTCCGTTTATTTATTTATTTATTTATTTATTTATTTATTTATTTATTTATTTATTTTGAGATGCAGTCTGGCTCTGTCACCCAGGCTGGAGTGCAGTGGCACAGTCTCTGCTCACTGCAACCTCTGCCTCCTAGGCTTAAGCGATCCTCCCTCCTCAGCCTCCCCAGTAGTTGGCACCACAGGCACAAGCCACCATATCTGACTAATTATTGTATTTTTTGTAGAGATGGGGTTTCACCATTGCCCAGGCTGGTCTTGAACTCCTGGCCTTACAGACGTGAGCCACTGTGCCTGGCCATCTTCTTTATAATTAACACTTTTTTGTGTGTCAGATTAGTTTTAGGTTCACAGCAAAACTGAGAGAAAGTTAGGAGTTTCTCATATACCTCCTACACACATAGCCTCTCCTATTATAAACATCCCAACCAGAGTGGTATATTTTTACCACTGTTCAACCTATACTGACACATCATTATCTCCCTGAGTCCATAGATTACATTAGGGTTCACTCTTGGTGTTGTACATTCTATGGGTTTGGACAAATACATGATGACATGTATCCACCATTGTAGTATCATACACAGTTTTCACTGCGCTACAAATCCTTTGTGTTTTCCCTATGCATTCCTTCTTCCCCCTAGTCCCTGGAAACCACTGGAAGAGATTTGTTTTAACCTAAGGGTGGTTAGCATTATTAAAGACTGAAATGTGGGTTTAAGACTGTGGATAAGACACGAAGAAAGTCATTACATTTGGCAAGAGTGTTTTCAATAGAATATACCATAGAGCAGTGATTTGAATGGTCACCAAGAAAGAAGTACATAGAGATTACAAATAGTATACATTAGTCTTTCAGGAAAAATGCTGCTAAAGGGGAAAATGATAGAATGGTGGCTTGAGACGAAAGCAAATTGAGAAAGATCTTGGTGCAGGGGAGATGTTGACAGTGGCAATGAAAAGACTAAAAATGCAAGAGGGAAAACAAAGTATTGAAACAAGGTCTGAAACATGATGGGAGGAGGGTGATGCCATTAAGGGCACAGAGAGAGGTAGTTAATCTTTAAAAAGAATAGAAACCCACTTTCATCTGAATTGGGTAGAAATTTAAAGATGAGCAAACTCATAGTTAGACTGTTAACTCTTATATTATGTGTTGTCTGTTTATAGTTTGTGACTACCATTATATCCTTCTCCCGCAGTGTCACAACACCTGAATTCAAGCTTTGATTATCACCTTTTAGGGATTCCTGCTTCTAGGACAAATCATGTAAAATAAGGAAAGGGTGTACTTATTGCTGCTAAAATTTTCTAGATGTGACAGCTTTACTCTCACCATATTTGTTATATTTGATGATATTATTAGCTAAGAGAATAACTGCTCATTAGAGTTAAAACTTAGCAACTATTTTCTCATAAAAGATTGTAATAATACAGTCACAATGTAAGTGTTCTTTCCTTTTCCTCAGAGTTGATGGATTAGCATAAATCTAAAGAACATAAATTATTTTATGAAACATTTAGATAATATTAAGATTCTGAACTTTTTAAATAATTGGTTAATTTTTGGTAATTAATAAAATAAAGCTTTTCAAATTTTAGAAAAACCTTTTAGTGAAAACAGATCATGTAACAGGAGAGAATTATATGCAGAAATATTATGATAGTTTCTTTTTTACTGTATTGTCAGTTTTAAACTTTAAGAGAAACCCAATAAACCAACCACTGAATCTGCCCTTAGACATATTTAACTACCTAAATCTGCCTTTAGTACTGTGGATATAAAGATATGCCAAGATAACATCTTTATATACAAAAACCTATTTTCTTGCTGTTTATGAAATTGGAACTAAAGTGTAAGGAAAACAAAAATAAATAATGAAGAAATAAATAACCACAAAAGACACAAATAGGCACCTTGCTCTTAGAGTCCACAGTTGAAAAACTTTGCTTTGCCCAGGCGTGGTGGCTCACACCTGTAATCCCAGCACTTTGGGAGGCCAAGGCAGGCAGATCATTTGAGGTCAGGAGTTCGAGCAAGACCAGCCTAGCCAACATGGTGAAACCCGCCTCTACTAAAACCCAAAATTAGCTGGTCATGGTGGTGCACACCTGTAATCCCAGCTACTTGGGTGGCCGAGGCAGGAGAATCCCTTTAACCCGGAGGTGGGGGTTGCAGTGAGCAGAGATCACTCCACTGCACTCCAGCCTGGGCAACAGAGTAAGCCTGTCTCAAAAAAAAAAGCAAAAAACAAGAAACTTTTCTTTATCACTCCACTTTCACTGCATATTTGTCATTTCTGAGCCTCACGACTTTGTTTCTAACCAGCTCCACCCAAGTTTTTTTTTGTACTGTGTCCAGATAATTGTCCAAAAGCTAACCCCTAGGCCTTACTATCAACATTTTTCCCTGTAAGCTTGTACTGATCTATCTTTCTTAGAGAATGACCTGAAAAATATGTTCATTCTAAGTTGATGACTGATAAGAATAAATTATTCCTTTCAGGAAAATAGTTGTCTGTTCACCGATGATATTTCTGCTTCACAGAGTAGACCTTAAACAGCAGAATTTCAGGAATTGGTGACTTTTGATTGAGAGTATATTCCGTCCAAATATTTCTGTGACTTCTGAGCAAATAGTTCCTACATCATTTTTACCAAAAATTATTCATTTTAACATGATAATCAGAATCCTTTCCCCACATTTTTTAAGTTACCAGCCATGCAAATTTGTTGTAGCTCTTCAAACTAAATTAATTTTTTTTCTCTTTTGCCCTTAACTAAAGTTTTGGTCAAAGTATCGAGTATATCAAATTTTATGAGGCAAAAATCACAGCATGTTTACTTTGGCAGAAGCCCACACACCCTTTGAGGTATTACAACTCTTTGCAATAATTTTTATTATACACATTTACACTATTTTTTTTATTGAGGAAAGTGAGCATAACTAAAAAATAAAATAATTCATTTGGGGTCACATTTTAGTAAATGATTGAGTCAAGATCCAAACTCAGGGCTCTCTGACTCTAAGATCTGACTTTTACATCACACCATCTATGGCATTTTTCTGATTTTTTTTTATTACTCCACTACAAACATCATTTAAAGGAAATCTTTTCCCCCACATTAGAACAGTGCCTATTTGAATGAACTTATCTGCCTTGAACACTTTGGCTTTGCTTTTCTCCACCTCCCATAAACCACTGATTTTCAGCTCCATCCACTGCAAACAAGCACACAAAAAGGATTTGACAGTTAATAGGCAAAGTTCCAACACATGCTCTCAAAAACTTGACAATTTTTTAACATTCTGATCACAACTTCCTGTATTTCTCCTATTAGTTTACATTTCCTTATCTTTCTTGAACTAACACCTTACTTTCATTAAATTTTTTCTTCTGTTTGTCAGTCTAAACACTTACTTGACATTCTTTAGTCTATGCTACTTCTCTAAAATCTACCCTCTTTCTGTCAACTATCTTGCTAACAGACTCTCAAAAATAATTAAATATTCACTCTGCCCTGAATATGTTCACTTCTTGCCCACCACCATGGCTTTGCCCACTCAAGTCTCTCCTTCCTCTCTGCTCTGAAAGTGGTAGAGTTTGTGGAGTCCCTATCATGTCCTGGCTAAGGTATTTTTATCTTGCTACAGTAACATCCGTATGGATTGGAAAGTTCCTCCTTTTTTACTTTTCTTTGCTAGATTATTACATTGGGGGCATATTACTTCATTTTCCCATGCTACATAATGAAAAATACACACAAGTGTTTCTAGCACAATGTCTGGCACATAGTGGGTACTTTAAAAAGCAATCTCTTTTTTATTTATTTCCATGGAATTTTGTTTGCTTTTGTTATTCATAATGCTTAATCTAAACACCTCTTCATAGAATCAAAAACGAAGTATAGTTTTGAGTGAAACTGTAAGCAATATTCAATTTTATTTTTCTTCCATGTCTCATCAAATGGTAGTTTATCCTTACTAACGAAGAAAAGTTTCTGAAGTATGTAAAGATTTTTGGAAATAGTGAGACATTAAGGAATGGATAGAGTTTTTGTTAAGTTTACTAGTCTTTATGTCAGCATGCTCCAAACTTGCGTAGCCATCAGGGTGACATTTTTCTGAGTCTCACCCCAACTTACAAATTTATGATTTTTGGTGAAAGGGTCAGAAAATCTGTATTTCTACCAAGAGCTCCTGGTGATTCTGATTATTAGTAAAAATTAGAAACCACTTATTCCAAAGCCTCTTTAAACAAAGTGTGTTCTATGGGCCAACCAAATCTCCTGGGAATATCTTAGAAATGTAGAATCTCAGTGGGGCCCCACCACACACCTACTGAATTACAGTCTGCATTTTAACACGGTCTTCAGTTAATTTATGCTCATTAAAATTTAAGAAGCACTGTAGTAAACGCTACTATTAAAAAAAAAAAAAAAGCCAGGCATGGTGGCTCACGCCTGAATCCCAGCACTTTGGGAAGCTGAAGTGGGCAGATCACTGATGGCCAGGAGTTAAAGACCAGCCTGGCCAACATGATGAAACCCCGTCTCTACCAAAAATACAAAAGAATTAACTGGGTGTGGTGACATGCACCTGTGGTCCCAGCTACTTGGGAGGCTGAAGTGGGAGAATCTCTTTAACTCAGGAGGCACAGGTTGCAGGGAGCTGAAATTTTTTTTAACATGCTACAAGATAGTGTGCAAATGCATTTATAATTTAAATAAATATTTAGGATCTTTATAATTTGCTGTAATGTTTAATGTAATTATTAAAAGTCTGAGGAGAACACGATTTTATGATTGTGTGTTTTCATGGTCTATGAATATATTTAGCATAATTTTCAGCTATGTGTTTGGTTGGGGTGTGTGTGTGTGTAGTGTGTAGACAAAACTGTCTGCACAAACCAATTGTTTTGGGTAAATTCAGTTTAAAAGCAAAATAATTCCAGTAATATAAGATTTTTGGAGTTTTGCCTACAAAATACAACTAACTTGCTTGACCAAATTTTTCAGCTGGTTAACTCCTGAATATCAGATAGACACAATGATTGAACTAATTAAGAACTATACTATTAAGAACTTAATAGTGTGAAGTTTAAAAAGAGTTTTATACATATTGGAGATTAAGTTTTATACTTAGTCTCTGATGGGTCTTGTCAAATGTCTCTGATACTCCTTTTTATTTCAGGAATAAAGAGATTATTTGTGGGATGTAGGAAGGATAAAATATTTACTGTAATGTGATTTATTGGAAGTGTTTTAGTAATTTTACTCTTCTATTAAGGTTCCATTTATAAATACCTTATTATAATTTGTTAAATGACACTTTATAGAATGCTTGATGGCTTTAATTTATGCATTGAATATGCAAATAGATTTTAACAATATTTGCATCTTATATATAATAATCATTTGTAGTGTTGTTGCTGAACTATTTGCTTTTATTTAATTTTTACAAATTAAAAAATTTATTTTTAAAATAAATAAGGTGCTTTCAGATATTATATGAATTTAAGTTATTTCTGTTTCTTTATTCTGAAATGGTGATATATATCAGTATTTCACTGGGTATATTTCCATCTTAACTGAGATTTTTATAGGGAGGTTTCCCTCAAAACAGTCATTTGAAATATATCAAGTTGTCAAGATTCCAAACAGTAGGTTTTTTTCCTAATTAATGCTTAAATATATTTTAAACAACATTGCTTACTGTAAATAATCTATTTTGATCTAGTAGAAAATTTCACGCTATTGCAATGCACTTATAAAAATGTACTTTGTACTAGTAAAGGTAGTTTTACTAACAAAGTACTACTAGCACTAGCGTTAATAAAGCCAAATTAACCAATACTATTTAAAGCTGAGTTTAGTAGGTATTCATTATTTATTTATTTATTTTTATGTGCTATTTCTTTTTTTTTTTTAATTTTACTTTAAGTTCTGGGATACGTGTGCAGAACGTGCAGGTTTGTTACACAGGTGTACATGTGCCATGGGGGTTTGCTGCACCTATTAACCTGTCATCTAGGTTTTAAGACCTGCATGCATTAGGTATTTGTCCTGATGTTCTCCCTTCTCTTGCTCCCCACCCCCTAACAGGCCCTGGTGTGTGATGTTTCCCTCCCTGTGTCCCTGTGTTCTCATTCTTCAACTCCCACTTATGAGTGAGAACATGCAGTGTTTGGTTTTCTGATCCTGTGTTCATGCGATGTTTGGTTTTCTGTTCCTATGTTAGTTTGCTGAGAATAATGGCGTCCAGCTTAATCCATGTCCCTGCACAGGACATGAACTCATTCTTTTTTATGGCTGCATAGTAACCCATTGTGTGTATGTGCCACATTTTCTTTATCCCGTCTATCATTGATGGGCATTTGGGATGGTTCCAAGTCTTAAATCATTATTTAACTCATTTTAAAATTCTGGATGTTTCATTATTCGTATTAAGTTTCAGCTTTAATTCTTTGAATAAAGCAAATCCAAACACATAAAAATGTAGTAATTGTTAAGACTGGAAAACTGTGACTAATTCATTTTAGGTTATTCCAATTCATATTGTCAGTATTTTCAAAAATATGTGAATAAAATACACTACCCTAAGGAAAGGCACTGATGGGTAAAAATACAGAATTATTTCCTAAACCTGTATAGGAAGAGGAGACCATTCTCACACTAGTTCTGCAATAGTTTCTCAAAGTTCAAACAACTGCTAATTGGGTGAATAAGAGATAATTAAATCCACCTTTCTTAGTGCCTTATTAATGATTCTGAAATTCTCATCCTTATTTTAAGTGCCTTTAATATTTATTTTAAGCTCATTCAGTTTTCTAACCACCTAGTCTCAGCCCTATTGTTGAATTAGATGTTTTAAAAAATACTTTAAGGCCGGGCATGGTGGCTCAGGCCTGTGATCCCAGCACTTTGGGAGGCCGAGGTGAGCGGATCACGAGGTCAGGAGATCGAGACCATCCTGGCTAACATGGTGAGACCCCATCTCTACTAAAAATACAAAAAAATTAGCCAAGGATGATGGTGGGTGCCTGTAGTCCCAACTTGGGAAGCTGAGGCAGGAGAATGGCGTGAACCTGAGAGGCGGAGGTTGCCGTGAGCCAAGATCGCACCACTGCAATCCAGCCTGGGCAACAGATGAGACTCTGTCTCAAAAAACAAAAACAAAAACAAAAACAAAAAACAAACAAACAAAAAAACTTTAAAGGAACCAAATAATGCCTGCATGTTTAAAAGTATATATAAAATGCTCCGAAATGATAAGAAGTAGGTCTTCTCCCTCAACCCCAGAAGAAAACACCTTTTATAATTTTTATTTTTTTAGGTCTCTTGAAAATGGAAAATGAAATACTCTCTGCCCACAAGAAACTGACAATACATATCTTCTTTATGATACTGCTTTTTGTGGTCGGAAGGGAATTGCTTTTCTGGGAGCATTCAACAATAAACAAGTGTATGGTCACTGGTTGGATTTGTCTTTAGAGAGATATCCAAGCATATTGAATAAATCCAAGCATATTGAATATATACTGGTTCATGTGCCAATTCATGAACTGAAAGGAGTCCTGCAGATGTTTCTTAAACAGGACATTTTGGCTGTCTCCATACACAAACCCTTAAAAATAAACTAAACCAGAGCAATGTCTTCTTCCTGCCAACTAACTGATTGCTTCCACTGATTTCCTGCAGCATTTATTATGTGAAAAATACTGCTTCTATTTCTTGATTTATCAACTATAGATAGAATATGGTAACTCCCTGCTATAAAAAGAGTAGGAATTTAGTGATTTTTCGTCACCATCAATTTTTGCTAATTCTATTAAGTTCTTCTGGTGGTTATCTTTATTACTCAAAAAATAAACTCGAGTATATATTTTTTCTATCTATTGATTCTCTGCTCTAAATCATAGCTTTTTAAGAAAAAATAATCGTCATCAGACTGCTTTTGTTTTATAAAGCCACTAAAATCTTTCTGAAGATACAAATTGCAAGATTCTTAAAGCTTTCTTCTGTTCCCCGGATTGTCTGCTTCATCTCTCGCCACTTGTTAACATTTTTTAACTTTTCATTATTTTTTAGGCTATTGGCTTTTTTTCAAATACCTAATGTTTTTTGGTTGTTGGTTCAATATATGGAGTAGCCTTATTAATATGATTAGTATGTGAAGTAAATATTCTGCATGATTGTTTAGATTTCTTTAAAAAAAAAGCTTCTCCCTTAAAAAGGGGATGTGTTGGTAGACAAGTAGACAAGTTTCACCTTAGGATCTTCACTTCAGGACTGAGCACACCATTGCCCATACAATGTTACTCTGGCATGGCTGACTTAATTAGTACATTTGTAATTGAGGCTGAGAGTTAAGGCTAAACTGCTCTGCTTATCTTTCTCATTCCTCCACCCATATTGGGTGCTTTCTCCAGGCAGATGGTTTGTTTTCTTAGACTAATAATGCACTTCTCAGACTTTATCCTGGGGGCAAAAGCCATTTCTGTGAGAAAGCTTGCTCTATTAAGTGGTGAGGGTGTGGGAGGAGTAGGTGATTTACCAGCCTGCCCATTCTCAATGGTGGATTTTAATTAATTCCCCTGATGATTGTACCATGGCCCACCCTTTGCCCTTTATGTTCCCTGGGAAGTAAGAGCTTACTACTGGTATTTTAGGCTGCATTTTTCCATACTCTTTTGTTTGTCAACTTAGGCCCTTCCATCTGCTCACTTTCTCTCTGGTCCTCTGCTGGTGCCTTTTCTGTTTTTGTTTTTGTTTTTTTCCAGCATTAGTATAGTTTTATTGTTTTAAAAACAGAGAGAAGGGAGGTGGACTTGGGTGCTTATTCTGTTATACTAAACCAGAACTCAATAGTTCTGTAATATTTTATTTAAATTACAGTAATGTAAGCAACAAATATTCATGATCATCTACCATGTACATGTTACAAAATGCATACACTGATGCCACATTCCCCTACCTAACGAGCCTAGTGTACTGTGGCTTACAGAGTTGCAAAAAAAGTTTAGAGCACAAATTTTGCTTATTAATATAATTCACTTGGTTCTGGTAGTTTTGATTCCTATCAAAGACAGTTTGAGTTACTTTTTCCTTCTCTAGTATTAAAAATATAACCCAAAGAAATTCTGCCTACAAGTGAGGCTGTAATAAAAATTTAAAGCCATGATCTTGGTCAAATATTACAGGGAAAAGTCTTGCTGTTTTAACGTGCACTGCAGCAACTTCATAGCCTGCTATTTCTTGAGGCTGACTCTCCAAACTAGGGATCAAGAACCAGAAAGCCCCTCACAGGGTTATAGTGATACAAGCTTTTCTCTTGTTGCCTGCAGGCTGCCTAGGGGTTCCTGTATTAACTTCCCAAGTCTGCTCCTAGGGGAAGGCAGATGTAACTAAGACAGGCCATACTGTGGTGTTTCTTATATGCAGATATATGCAGAGAAGTGTTAGAGCCATTTATGAACTTTTAGGTCCGTCTTGCTCTGAAATTTTGTGGCAATAGAACATACCACATTTCACAATAAAATTCTGTTTGACAATAATATATTGTAAGGGCTAGTATTTGAGTTGGGCAGCGGGGAAGATGATGAATGATTATCTAGGGAGAAGTGGATGAAGGGTAGGTATGTGTGTTCTCTTCTTGGCTTGCAGGATATGATCATCTGGACAAAGAGGGGAAAAATCAGACAATCTGTTTCAACTCAGGTACAATTAATTTGTTTTTAATAAAGGATAATGTGATTATACTACGTACTTTTTCTGGGGAAGGCAGACTCAGGAATCTCATTGACAAAAGCAACTTTAAAGTAAATTCAAAACTCTTATTCTTCCAAAATTGTTTACAATTAACAGAGTGCCATTTCTCAAAGTGCTTTTTATGCTCAAACCAGTCCAATAATCATTTTCTTTCCATATGTGCCAAAGATATCCTAAAAATATTGCTTTATGTCTACTATTTTCCTGATTACAGTAGAGTAAGTTAAAGTCCATTAAACTCTGAATAAATGTTTACTGTGTATATGCTGGACATTGGACACCGATTACCTTGACCATTGTAACACATGCACCCAAATTATCTAACTCATTAAGTAAACTTTTTAATGATTGGTTTACTGAATTTTTACTCTTTTACTGTAACACAGTAACTGTATTGATCAATCTAGTTATCCTTGATCATCTGTCTAAAATTCAGTACAAAATATTTTTGGAGATTGTTTATATCCAGTTTAAATAAGATTAAGTTAGTGGCAGGCTATAGTTTTTAGTGACATAATTACAGAAAGAAAGGTTGAGAAAAATTATAATACTTTTTATATTGAACTAACTTATAGTGAATTATGTTCAGTTATATGTCAGATGGAAGCTATATAGCTTCCATTTTTTTCCAAGAGTGTGATCTCTGACTACCAGAGATCTCAGACTCAGATTCTGCTCATGGGTCTGTCATGTGCTATGTGTATGACCTCAGGGAAGGCATTTTCTTTCTCTGAACATAAATCTTAGTCTATAAAATGGGGGTAACCATTTCCAGTCTGATTTACCACACTGTAGACCATAACCATAGAAGCTATGTACAGGGTTACACCTTGTTTGCTGATAAGGATTTTTTTCCACAGCCTACAAGCTGCATAGGAGGTCGAGTGTTCTCTCCCAAGATTCTGTGTAGCCTTGTCCAGAGAATGTTCTACAATGATGAGTATATTCTATATCTGTGGTGTCCAACAGAGGAACCACTAGCCATATGTGGCTATTGGGCACTTAAATATGGCTAGTGTGACTGAGGAACTTAATGTTCACTTTCATTTCATTTGAAGTTATTTAAACTTAAAAAGCCATGTGTGGCTAGTGGCTACTGTATTGGATCACATAGTGAGAAGATAGAAATACCTGACGCACTATTTCTTAAATACAGATATACACATATAGAGAGTTTCTGTGAGATTTGGATCAGATAATAATCTAGGTAATAAAACATTTCTCTACATTAAAAATGCTTTTCAAATTTAAATTATCATTACATGAAATAGCACTTCTATTTTTGTGGCACTATTGGTGGATAAATTATTTCAAGACATTCCCTATTTACGTAATTCTAAAAATAATATTCATATGTAGTATTCTTATCAGTCTTATATTTTTACTTTATTATTTTGAATTCTCCCCATATGCTATTAGGTCACTAGAGTAGTATGTTGTGTCCCTTAAGTTGGTTTTAAATGAAAATGCTTACCATAACAAGAGTTCCAATGAGCATATATTTTTTTTATTTAGGTAGACTTTTAAAAGCAGATACAAATGGCTACTCTTAATTTATATCTCCTCTTTGCCTTTCATGGGATAGCAACACTGCCCATTTCTATTGAACCTATCATGTTCTATTTTCTTTACAGATCTATTTTAATCCAAATCTGTAAATATTGCCCCCCTTTCTTGATTAGCCTTTCTTCTCTAGATTTACTTTCAAATAGTGGTAATAGTGTGTAACTATTTTTAACTGTACCTTTGGACTAATAAGGATTCTACATTTAAGGATATATTGTTTTAGAACAATGAATATTACAATAATAAAATTCAAGTAATATATCTAAGAAGATGAAATAATTCAGCATTCAATTATGTTTAAAATTGGCATCTTTTTACATCAGCTTGATGTTTCTGTGAATGTCCATTTACCTCAAGTGGTTTCTTCAAATAATGAGTTAGCACTCTCCTTCATTGCAACAAATTGAAGCACCAAATTTGGCTTTGTGAGTCGAATGATAAAACATTTGAGAGTCGTCTGAACTATTCTTTGTTTATATTGTCTTTAGTTTTGTTCACTTGGTTTTCAGTACCCGTATTCACACAGTTCCTTGGCTTCTATATCAATAAATTTTATGAGGTTCAAGGTATTGACTGCTAAAAAATCATAGGATTGAATAGTTTCTGTTTTGGTTTCTTTCAGTTGTTTTTTAAAAAAAGAAGGATTTGAAAGTTTACTCTGTGGTTTTAGATTAAGTAACTTCAGACTTTTTTTCAAGAAATTTTAATGTCTCTTTTTAAAACTTCAGTTTTGAATAAGTAGAAAGTATAGATAAGCAAAAAGAAAAAAAAATCACTCTATTCCACCACATAGTTTTAATATAGCCCAGAAAAAAATTTCAAACTTAGAGAGAGAGGGAGTCTGTGTGTGTATAAATACTTGCTGGTTCAAATGTGAACATATTTTTGACGTATCCTTTCAGCCAGAAAGTTGTACCAATTGACAAAACAACCAGCCACGCTTGTCCATTCTATGTGTGGGCATTTTCATTTCCCTACTACCTTGTCAACACTGAAGATTATCTTCTTTTTCTATCAACGCTTATATGATCAATGATAAAAATCATTATTTTAATTTGCATTTTCTTGATTATTAAAGAAGATAAATAGTTTTTCCTGTTTTTACACTATTTGTATGTCTCTATGCAAGCTAATGGTGATATGTATTTTAAATCTTCACATACAATGTATTTCCCAAATTTACCTGGCCCCAGATCTCCTTTTTGCAGAGTGTCTGGTTTTCTATAACACATCTCTGTGAAACACTATTACATACTATAGCACCATATTTAATTACCAGAAATTTTATAAGAACTTAACTGTCAAATGTACTAGGTTGAATAAAGCAGTTTATATTGCAAATAAGTTCTATGCTTCATTTTATATATATGATGCTAAAAATGTATAGACGCTAAATAAATATTTATTAGTTGATTGAACCATTAAATATTGGCAAGTCAAGTCTTCAAATATTAGAAAGATCTTTACCTAAGTTTACCTAAAGAAGTTTCCGTGTCTATATTGGAAGCATTGCTATTGAGTGAAGTTACAAGGACCTATTTTATAAAATAGATTTCTTTCAAAAAGCCAAAAAAGTATAAATATGCATACATTTCAAAAAACAAAAAATAACAGTTGGTTTATTGTTACATATCAAAATGTGGCCTGTTTTAACCATATATATTAACTCATCCTCTAATAATCCATTTGATTATGATACTTAAATAATTTCTACATAATTCCTTCATACAATGAAGTATAGAGAATTTAAACTCTTTTTAAGGAAAAAAATCCCAAGTTCACCTATTAAATTTGCTCAATGTCCTGTGGGGCTAATGAGAGGTTCTATTTAGGTGAATAATCTGCATTGGGCTACCCACCTCACCCTCAC
Organism: Homo sapiens; assembly: GCF_000001405.40. Lineage (NCBI taxonomy): Eukaryota > Metazoa > Chordata > Mammalia > Primates > Hominidae > Homo > Homo sapiens. The sequence goes on from NC_000007.14 coordinate 114,594,349, forward strand.
CCACATCTTCCACTTAATTTTGCTGTCAATCACAATTAGTGGCATTATACATTTTCACAGCTGCCCAATCAGTGCTTTGTTTCAGCCATGCTTAGCAAATAGAGAGCCGACTGATTATATTGTTGAGCAGGGAAGTATACTGACTGTGTGGAGTTGTCTCACTTTGGAGCTTTTTCACTGTTACAAGATATGTACATAAGCTAAATAAAAATGAAGTTTGCAAAAACAACAAAAAAATAGTATGTGAGAACCAATTCTATTCATTTGACTAAAACACAAGCATTTGGGAGCAAAACTTGGTTTTCAGTGTTTCATTGGAAGCTTCTGAAAGGTGGCAGATATTTAAGCAAAGCCTATGTTCATAAGAATATGATTATGTTGAAATACACTATATTGCTGACACCTCCTATTTGGGCACAACTGCTATTAAAACATCAAAGATTGAACTGAGATTTTACTTAGTTTTTAAATGCCAGGAGATAGAATTAAATCTTCAATGTAGGTACCTGAATATATATTTTTTTATATTCACTAGATGAAGGTATGTTCTCAGGGTTGTAAACTGCTTGTGGAAAAAGAAAGAGTCAGAACCAAGTAGAGGTAGACACTGTAAGTCATATACCTTTAATTAACAACAGTGATTTCAAACCTCGTACTTCACCCTTTAAGACTGTTTATATGTGCAAGAAGCAAGTGCATGATATTTATAACATAATGAACTTATACTTTGAGGAAACATTCTTAATAAGGAAAAGGCACCCTTATGATTTATCAAATTGATTATATCGTACATGACCTAATTGGTCATTCCTGCCTAGTAATGAAGAGAAAGGTAGAAAATCCTATGCTGTTTTAATTTCCTATCTTAATTATAATACTCTTTTGCTACAGGCTTTCTTGTATTAACTTCCCATGTTATATAATTAACCGCTACATATCTACATTAATTTTCCTATTTTCTAGAACCGATGAAGCATTTTTATTACCAGAAACAGAAGGGTATTAAACACTCACTTTAACGCAGATCTAAGGCTCCAATAAAATAGTATCTGTCTCAGAACTTTCTTCCTAAAATTCCTGAAGATTATATGAAATTGGGTATAAAAAGTAACTACTATTTTTTTGCAGTCTGATTTATTTCCTTTTCTGAAAGATGTTTATGATAAAAGCAAAAGCAGAGGTTAATAGATACCCAATTCTGCAATGTAAACAGTATAGATACTAATTTTGGTATATAATAGAGGTAAGTTGTTTGTAAGGATTTTATCGTTTTATTCACCATTAGTTTAATGTCAAATGAGGGGCAAGCATTCTCTTTAGCATTGTAGGAAAAGAATCCACAGTGCTAATTCCCCAGAGATTACAACATGGGGAGTCAAAAAAGGTGTAAGGATCAACAACCTAATCATTATGATAGAGCGTAATCAATGATACAGAAGGGTACAGGCTGATAGGAGAAGCTGTAGGAGAATCACATATCCAGTTCAGGGTGAGGATCAGTCGGGGGAAATGTCCCCAAAATGTGACAATTGAAGTCAGTTTGAAGGAGTTTACCATAAGAGTTGGGAATCTTATTGAGGCAAGACATGAAGTAAAAAAATAATAATAATATGAGTAGTTTCAGTGTAATTCAGCTACCTAATAATAAGGAAATATTTCAACTTCTTTTTCCTTAATACTGAAGGCATGTCCCACATCTGAACAGGTCACGCTGAGTCTCAGGTAGAGGCAGTCATCTCATTATCAAAACACAGTGATTAAAAATGCTAGTACAGTTAGCAATTCTTTTTCCTCACTAAAATATCACATTTTTCTCTTTTTATTAAAGAGAGAAGTCATGGTTCCCTTGATGTTATCTCCTTATGAATAGCTCCATTTCCTTGGAGTGGTTTTTCATTGACCACTTGGTTGTGCTTCTTGGAAATCTGGAGTTTATGGCAAGCAATTGTCAAACTTGTGCAGGCATCCCAGCTTGGAGTAGCAGTGCCCAGATTGCAAATTGAAAGCTGGGATTAAGCTGTTTGGGGTGCCCAAATCAGCACCATTTCACTGTTTAAAGGCAAATGGAAAATATCTAGAAAGTCAGGTGCCCCTGAGAGAGCTTTCTGAAGCAGATCCCTCTTGGGCTGATTGTGACACTAATCAGCCATTTAACAAGCAAGCCATTATGTATCTGACCATATGAATAATCATAATTCATGCAAATATAATTTATGTTAAATACATTCTCAAGTTATTATGCACAATATTTTCTTCATCAGAAAGCAGTGACCAAAGGTGCACATGTATTTATAATAATTCTTTTCGGCATCTTGAATGTCCCATTTTCTTCTTGCCATTAATAAAAGACTTGTCTGATAAAGCTCTCCCCTCCATACGTGTCCCAGGTATTTGGAAGAGTGTTACTTATTTCAGAAACTATACATTAGGATGATATTCTTAGTCTGGTATTTAAGGCAGTACTTGAAATTTTGTTGTGATAACAAAGCTTGATATCCTAGGAGCACAGTCTTGTCCTGGCCTCATTAGTAAACAAATTTGAATGCTATAGTCTCAGCCCTGACCTCAGAGGTACTCATTAGTGACTTTTCTTTATTGTACTGTAATGTAATCACAGACACTAAAGTAGCAGACCATTTTCTTTGTTAATCAAAAATAATTCAGAATTATTATAATTCAAAAAAACTTTCTTTTGGTAGTGTGTAAGAAAAAATTGGGGGCTCTTCTCAATGCTCATTTTTTATGATGTAAATCATGTATTTTAAATCATTGCTGCAAACTTAAGATGACAATCTGTGTGCAACCTTTTAAAAAACAGTCAGCTTATTATATGTAAATATAAAAGGTTAGAGTTACTAACTCTAGAAATGAAAAAGTACCATAATTTATTAATGTGCCTTTCTGGCAGGAGTATATATCTGTGCCTGAAACCCTCAGTCTCTTCATACTTATACAGTTCTTTGAAGGCAAACTATGCAAGTGTGCCAAATATAATTTCACTGAAAGTATTTAAAAATCTCTTTAAAAGCAAAGTATTGGTGGTCTATGAAGGAGAGGTAATATTCCAATGTTATATACATTATAGTCCATTCTGAAACCTCTACTTCTTTGCCAATTCATTAGGCTGTATCATTACAAACAGATAATCTTATGCAAAAGGATATGACATTCAGGCATCACCATAAATGCCAGCAAAATGACAACTACATTTCATCAGTAAGCCAATGTGCATCCAGGCTGGGTGACTAGACAGAGTTGTGTAAGTTGTGTCCAACACAGGGGCACCAGGTTACAGGGTAATTGGGGCCATAACCCAACCTACATCCATTCCCCAAACCATGTACCTAAGGGGTTAAATCTGTCCAGTGTACAAAAGCACCTTGTAGGTTACTGGAGGCTCTTTGGCAAGATATATTGCTTCCCATCAAGTATGACAAAACTTGTAGAGCTATTTCAACCAGCAAGCATGCAACAGTCAACTCCACTGAAGGAGCATAGTCAGTTTTTCTTTAAGAAAACGTGCACTTGTGCACCTACTCAGGAATTATCTCATCTAGTCAAGCCAATATGGACAGTGAAAGTTTCTATCTCAGATACAATGCAAAAATGTTCTTGTAAACCTTGACTTTTCCAGGAACTAACACTACTTCATATTCTTATATCCCTGATACTTTGCCTACTAAATAGTTATGTTCATGTTATTTAAACAATATATAAGTAAATATATGCCAGAATAAATTTTTGCCTTCTATAATGTTGACTTTTTTTGTATTCTGCTTAATTGTGAGTGCTACTGTGGCCAAGATCCCTAAGAAAAAGGGATTGTTAGTTCTACTTTGAGTCATTGGTTTTACATTCCAAGGACAGGCAAACCAATCCATCTTGCTTTATTCTCATATGCATCCCACATTTTCTGTACTGGTATTCTCATACACTTTCATATTTAGATATGTCTATAGGTGAGGATAAATGTGGTGCTTTTTTCCCTACACAAAAGCTATTATTAAATTAGTGATATATCTTTTGATGGATACTGCCTTACAACAGAAGAATTGGATTTCTAAGAATGGTGTTCCATCTGTCATCAATGTTCTGATAATTTTGCTCAGCGTAGAGTGGAGGGAGTTGAAGTTTCTCTAATGGTGGGCTGCAGGTTTCTCACTTTGATTTTTTTTTCTATGTTATTTAGATTCACCTATCTTTAATATTCATTACTTAATGACATTTATCTTTTCTAAAGTCACCTTTAATTTTTAAAAAATTTAATTGTGGTAAAATGCATAACAGATTTCTAAGTGTACAGTTCAATAGTGTTAAGTATATTCACATTGTTGTGCAACCAGTCTCCAGAACTTTTTCATCTTGCAAAACTGAAATGCTATACCCATTAACAACAAAAAGTAAGTTTTTGTGAAGTATAACATTTCTATAAAAAGTACATTAACCAGAAATACATAGCTATGGATTTTCACAAAGTGAATACACCCATGGAACCACCATTCAGATTGTAAAATAGAACATTTACCAGCATCTCTCTCTCTCACACAGTTACTACTCTGCACAATTGTTTTTTATATGTTGACTTTGGATTAAGCAACACTGCAAAATTCCCATATTCATTCTTATAGATTGTAGATTCTTAGGATTTTCTACATACACAGCCACGTTTATTCATGAATAAAGATACTTTTATTTCTTTTCCAATCCCTATACTTTTTTATCCTCGACTTTATTGTACTGCCTGGGACTTCCAGTAAGAGTGGTGAATGGATGTGGGGACAATGGCCATCTTTGTCTCATCTCCGACCTTGTGGGGGAGCTTTCTATATTTCTTTATTCAGTATGATGTTTGCTATAGGTTTTTGTAGCTACTCTATCAGATTAAGGAAGTTCCCATCTGTTTCTAATTTGCCAAGGGTTTTCGTCTAAACAAATATTGCATTGTTTCAATTGCTTTTTTCTGCATGTATTGAGATAACCTCATTGTCTTTTCCTTTATTATTACATTGACTTATATTGATTTATTTTAAATGTTAAATTAACTGCAAGAGTTTGTGGAAGAATAGTATTGCTTCTTTCTTAAACTTTGGAAGAATTCACTGGTAAAGTCAACTGGGCTGTAAATTTCTTTGTGGGGACGTTTCTAAATCAATTTATTTAATAGAATTGGGATTATATGGATTTTCTACTATTTTTGGTAAGGAATCTCTAGGAACTTGTTCAGTTCACCTAAAATATTAAATTAAGTAGTATAACTTTTTTTTATAATGTTCTTGTATTTTAATGCCTATACAATTGGTTTTACAGTCCAAGAACAGGCAAACAAGTCCATCTTGCGTGTATCTGTAGTGACAGTCCTTTTCTCAGTTCCAGTACTGGTTATTTCTGTCTTTTTTTAAAAATAAGATAAGTATTGATGAAATTATGTCAATTCTTTTTCTTAAAGAAACATTCATTTTATTTTTCCCTATTGCCTTTAAAAGATATGGCTAAACTTTTAAAAAAATTAATAGACTTTAGTTTTTAGACCAGTTTTTGGTTTACAGAAGAATTAGGCATAAAATACAGAGAGTTCCCTTATACTCCCTCTTCCACTCCCCACCCTCAGTTTCCCCTGTTACTGGCATCTTGCACTGGTATGGTGCATTCATTATAAGGATGAAGTAATATGAATATGTTATTATTAACCAAAGACTGTGGTTTACATTGGATTCACTCTTGGTCTTTCACAGTTCTATAGTTTTTGACAAAAGCATAAATTCATATATCTACCATTACAGGTAGTTAGTTTCACTGCCCTAAAAATCCCCTGTATTCCACCTTATTGTTCCATCTCTTCTGCTCAACCTTAGGAAACCACTGATATTTTTAATATTGCAATAGTTTTGCCTTTTCCAGAATGTCTTATAGTTGGAATCATACAATATGCAGCCTTTTCAAATTTACTTCTTTTACTTGGCAATGTGCATTTAAGGTTCCTCCATGTCTTTTCATGGCATGATAGATCAGTTTTTTTTCACTGAATGATAATCCCATTATGTGGATGTATCAGTTTGCTTATCCATTCACCTATTGAAAGACATCTTGATTGCTTCCAAATATTGGCAGTTTCAAAGCTGCTATAAACATTTGTGTGCAGAGTTTTGTGTAGATATGTCTTTAACTCACCTGGATAAATATGTGAGAGCACATTGCTGGATCATATGGTAAGACTATGTTTAGCTTTGTAAGAAATTGCCAAATTATCTTCTATAGTAGATGTATTGTGTTACATTCCCACCAGCAATGAATGAGAGTTCCACCTCCTTGTCAGCATTTGATGTTAGTGTTCTGGATTTTAGCCATTATAATAGGTGTGAAGTGCTAGCTCATTGCTAATTTGCAGTTCCTTATTGACTTAAGATATTGAACATAATTTCATATGCTTATTTTTCATCTGTGTATCTTCTTTGGTGAGGTGTCTCTTCAGATCTTTTGCCCAGTTTTAATTGGGTTGTTATTTTCTTATTGTTGAATTATAAGAGTTCTTTGTATATTGTAGATATAAGTCTTTATCAGATATGTGTTTTGAAAATGTTTTCTCCCAGTCTTGGCTTGTCTTGTCAGTATCTTTTTTTTTTTTTTTAATTTTTTGAAACAGAGTCTCATTCTGTCACCCAGGCTGGAGTGCAGTGGCATGATCTCAGCTCACTTCAGCCTCTGCCTCCCAGGTTCAAATGATTCTAGTGCCTTAGTCTCCCAAGTAGCTAGGATTACAAAAATGTGCACCAGCACAACCAGCTAATTTTTGTATTTTTAGTAGAGACAGGGTTTCGCCATGTTGGCTAGGCTGGTCTTGAACTCCTGGCCTCAGGTGATCCTCCCACCTCGGCCTCCCAAAGTGCTGGGATTACAGGTGTGAGCCACCACACTTGGCCTCTTCTCATTGTCTTAACTGTGTTTTGCAGAATAGAAATTTCATCTTACTGAATAAAAATTAATTTTTTAAATGGATCAGCCTTTTTGATGTAGTATCTAAAAATTCATTGTCAAACTCAAGGTCACCTAGATTTTCTCGTATGTTAATTTTAGAAGTTTTATAGTTTTATGCTTTACATTATGTCTGTGATCCAGATTGCAAGTTTTTAAATTTCATTAATTTCTATTCTTAACGTTATTATTTCTTTTCTTCTAGTTCTTTGGTTTTCATTTACTGTTCCTTTTTAAACCTATTAAGGTAGATTCAGATGATCAATTTTTCAGCCTTTCTTTATGTCTAATGTGTGCATTTAAGACTATAAATTTCCCTTTAACACGCATTAGCTTTATCCTACAACTTGATATATTGTAGTTTTATAATTGCTCAGTTTAAAATATATTTTAATTTCAATTATGACTTTTAACACATAGATTACTTAGAAGTTCATCATTTTATTTCAAATATTTTAAGATCTCTTAAGTTATAACTTCATAGGGGTCAAAAAACATCAGTGATTTCAAGCCTTTGAAATTCGTTGAAATTTGTTTTATAGCCAAGAATATGGTTTATTTTGATACAGTTCCATATATACTAGAAAAAAAGTATATATTTGCCATCATTTTATACAGCACTTTATATATATAATGTAAAGATCTATATATGCATAGAGATATATGTGTGTGTAACAATTAGATCATGTATTAATTGTGTTGTTCACAACTTCTGTAATCTTATGGAATGTATATCTGCTTTTCTTGAGTTACTGAGAGTGAGGTTTTAAAATCCCCTACTTTGAATGTATATTTGTTTTTCCTTTCAGTTGTGTAATTTTTTCCTTTATGTGTTTTAAAGTCATTTTATTAAGAGAAAGCATATTTAGAATTGTTATATTTGTCTGGTAATATGCAATTTTTACCATTCTGAAATATCCTTAATTCTAATAATTTTTATCTTAATATCTTTCTGTTTTGCTGTTAGGATAGCTACACCAGCTGTCTTTTGCTTACTGCTTCCAAGTTATATTTATTACTACCTTTTTACTCTTAGCCTTTCTGTGTCTTTATATTTAACTTGTATCTCTTGGAAGCAGCTTATAAATGGGTTATATTTAAGTATTGATATATAGCTATAAGTATCTTTTAAGTAACATTTTTACTCATGACTTGTAAGAGCACCTAAAAGATTCCTATGATTACTTTGAATTTAGTCACAAGGAAGGAATATTTGCTACAGTTTTCTGTGGTTTATTATACAAATAATAATATATCAATATAATATTTTATCTGTATTCCAGTGAAAAACCTACATTTCACCCCCAAAGCCTCCTTAAATCCTGTCAATCAGGTTGCTATTTTCAATATGGAGACAACAAAATCTTAATAATATTTCAGTATATTTTCCATGCTTATGTGAATCCTTCATGAGCTACGCATATCAATAATGGGAAAGAAAAATACTTATTTGCATTTATTTTACCTATTTTAATCATCCTGTATTAAAGACCATTGTATTAAAATCCAAGGAATCTAGGAATTGGTCTAAAATATGGGTCAGTAAAATACTAATATTCTTTAGCAAAAATAGAAAACTATGCAATTGTAATACTGTAGACATTATGAAATTATTTCAGGGTTACTTTTACAGCCTTGAAATAGCCCTAAAAATAACACAAAAACGTTATGTTGACAACTTGAGTACAAGACAATCATATTCTGGTGTCACTGTGGCGTTAATTAGTGGGCCAGTGTGTGCAGCAAAATGATGACTATTTGGAAGTTTTTTCTTATGGAACATCATATTCCACCATGATGCCAGTTTTTCCAGTGGTGCCTAGTCAATGCCAAAGAGCAACTGGTATAATATGAGGTCATCAAAGTTGAGGCTCAGGTGCAAAGACATCAGAGTTGTATTAATTAATATCAAAACTTTACCCACTATCATAAAACCAAAGAAAGATACCCTTTCAATGTTGAGCATTACAAACTGTTCTCAGAGTACTTTACTTACATTAAAATCTTACAGCCATGCTTATTTGGGTATTAAATTACTTTCCCAAACTGGAATTAAGGGAATTCATGAAAACCTGATTTGCCTCCTCAGGATGAAACTGTTCCTGACCTTTTATGCATGGCATTTCTGCCATCAGTAAATGTTTGTTGGCCTAATGACCAATTAATTGGTAGCAGAGTTTTGAACTACCTGATTTCTCATTGGAAGAATGTTTTACATATTGACTGAGCTGGAGGTGTTGCAAAGTTCCTTGAAGATGTTTTATCATTTTGAATTAACAGATAAATGTCAGTGTGTTACATAAACTAACAAGTTAGAATTTTTCTTAAATAATTAGAATTTCAGTGATTTTTCAATAAGAATGATTGCCCTGTGGCTAGCATATTTTATAATAGAAGACTAATTTTGCTTACAAAAATTTTGATTATTACGAGTGATTAAATTTTACCATGGAAAAGTAAGGCTGAACTTCAAGTTTTGAAAGCAAACTCCCTTCAAATAGCCTTAAAAAACGAAATTATTTATTGATATTTGTTGTAAATCAGGCTATAGCCTTTAGCTTCACAGCATGGTATTTTAAGGTTCTTAATTAGAAAAAATAATTAAATGAATCTGTAAAACATGGAGATAGAAACTTTAGATATGCCAGAGATTCAAGGATACTTTCAATATGTTGCCTGATTTCAACTATATGACTATTTACAATGTTAAGTACAGGATTGAATATGCTTGTCTGGGCTGCCTTAACAAATTACCATAACGTGAGTGGCTTAAACAACAGACATTTCTCAGTTCTGGAGGCTGAGGTCCAGGATCAAGGTGCTGGCAGATCCAGTGGCTGGTGAGGATCTACTTCCTGGTTTGCAGATGGTAAGCTTAGTGAATCCGCACCTGGCAAAAAGAGAACTGGAGAACTCTATGGAGCCTTTTTTATGAGGACACGAATCCCATTCATAAACCCTCCACCCTCATAACCTAATTACCTCCTACAGGCCCCACGTGTTATATCATCACATTGGAGGTTAAGATTTCAAAATACAAATTTTTGTGTGGATGTAAACATTCAGTGTATAACAATGCCTAAGAAAGATATTTGTTGTTCTCAGAATAGTCTCTCATATGTTATGTCAATCTATGGTTGTTTTGGATGGAGGGACAGGTTTTCTACTGAAAGCTTGCATTCAAATATTTTTACAGTTTTTCTAATAGAAACTAATAAATATTTCAAAATAGAAAATTCATAAATAACTTTCTATACGTTGGTTTTGCAGAGGAATAAATATGGTTTTCTTCATTTTTAAGGCTGGTAGAGATATCAAACATTCTGGTTTGCCTAGGTCAGTCCTGATTTACATCTGCCTCATCTGGTAATTATTTATAATGCCTCTATTTGCTCTCAAATGAGTCCGGGTAAATTCTGTGGTCACCCCATTAAGTATCCAAGCTTGCTTAGGCCTCTACTAAAGGCTTCCATAAACCGTGATATGCAGAGAATGGGGCTTGTAGACATAATGAGGATTCAGCAAAATGAAACTGTAGTAAGCGTAGTGACCCAGACCTTGGATTTGGAATAATAATAATTTAAATTCAGTTCCAGTCCCAATTCTACCTCTTACTATTCTTTCACATATCTTGATCTTTCTGAGCCCATAAGAAATGGGCAGTAAAAAGTATACTGTCTCACAAATGACATAATGCCATTAGAAATGTGAAAACATTTTGTAAATTTCTAAATGCTATACAAATAGTATTAACAAACCCACAGTATGGTTTAACTCAGAGTTGTACTTGTCAAGAACTCAGAGTCAAATTAAGTGTAATTACAATGCAGGATGGAAGTCTGTGCCCTGGAAACTCACATTTACATGTTTTTTTCTTGCCATTACATCTTCACAGCAGATTAAATGACCCCAAAATACTGGAGCATGCCAAAAGTAGAAATTATAATAGAATCTTACTCATTTTCATTTCTATATGAAATATGAGCATTTGTGTGCATATTTTAATAATAATGATTATCATAAAACAGTATTTACATATTATAGTTGTTAACCCTAATAACCTCAAGGAATATTTTTTGAACCCCTACTATGTGCAAAAGCATTTTGCCAGATTGTAGATCAGACTAAATAAAGCACATCATTTCTCCAGTCTGGTTTATGTGTAAACAATAATAATAAAAGACAAAATGAGATAAATGTAATAGAAGGGAAAAATTAAAGTAAGGGGATAGTAGAGAAATAATTTATTGCTAATCCAGGTGCCCTGTGGATCACTGCATAGAGGTGGGCGCTGTGCTGAGCCTCGGACGATAAGGTTTGGGTTGATCGAGGTGTTTGCCAACATATTGTGCTCCAATAGAAAGAGATTAAAAAACTAACCTGGTGGAAAGCATGTGTTCTAAATGTGCTCTGAGGGTGGCACTGGCACTGAAGCATGTTGTGGGGACATGGACCTGGAAAGGAGTTAGTGTTAGGTGGTGACAGACTTTAAATTTCAAATAAGGAAAAATAAACTATCTTCTTTAGGATTGAGAGAGCTTTTTAGTATTTGACAAGGGTAGTGGCCTAAAGAGATTTGTATTTTGGGAAGATAATTCTGGCAACAACGAGTAGTATTGATTGGAGATGCAAGACATTAGAAGCCTGGAGACCTCTTCAGAGACTGTAACAATAGTCCAAATGAAAAATGGCCAGGTATGGAATTAGAACTTGAGGGAGTATAAATGACCAAGAAGGCGTTGGACTGAAGAGGCATTATAGAAATGATTGGGCAGTAGTTACTGGCTGATTGAAAATAGAATTGAGGTAGAAGAAAGAATAAAAATTACCTTGGGGTATTATGTTTGGCTGACTGGTAGGATAATGGTGCATTCAAGGAGACAGGATCTACAGTAAAAGAAACCGTTTCACAGATTCAGAATCAAGCACTGAGTTTCAGGGATGTGTAGTTATTTGTATGTCTATAACTGGCAGTTTTGTTTTCAAATCTGAAACTCAGAGAAGGTAGGTACATGTGCTTCAAGGGCCGGTAGATAAGTTAGCCAAAGCCAACTCACAGTCAAACTAGACCTAGAATTTTTAAGAAATTTGCACTGTCCTCAAAACCTACAAAAACTCTAAACATTTAGTGAAATTGGAGGACCACCTGAGCTACTGTGATGCCACTCTCATCTTCTTCTGCAACATGAGGTATGTCACAATGAGAAAATTATTTTATTAACTTTATATAACTAGTTTTTTAAGCCACTTGAGTTTCTATTCCTTTTGCCCTCTCCTCATTCTTTCTTTATGCATAATGTCAGAAACAGCAACCTGATTGGGGAAATGAGCATGATATTTTAGAGAGGAAGCCTATGGTAACATAATGTTTTGTATTCTGGAAAGAACATTCTTACAAATAAAGCCATAGAGGTGGTAGTGAACAGAATTTTGGGAACAGTATACCTAGAGGGGTTTGGTTTTCTGTATTATATTAACAATCAAATTAGAGGAAGGCTAATATGTGAGTGCTTACAAAGTTAACTGCTGTGCTAAGCCTTTCCTGTGCATTATCTCATTTAATGCTCGCAATTAATGGGATTTTTTGTACTGTTGCCCCATTTTATTTACAAGAAATCTGAAGTGGAGAGTTGAATGACTTGGCCACTTTAGCATTACTAGTGACACTTGGTATATTCATACAGCTCCACTGATTCTAGAGCCTACCCTTCTAACATCTGTGCCATATTGTTATGTGAATATGTCAGAAAGGAGGAGAATAGGGATTCTCCTTGATCCAGCAGAGCTACACTAGATGAAAGCCATCTTATAACTGGGCTAGTATCTGTTTATTTTATAAGGCCACAGATGCAGAACTGAGAAAATTCAGTCTTATCCATGTGACTAGAGGAGACTTTAGTAAATGTAATCCACCAAACCTGTCTGTTGGGAAGTGCAAGGCTAGATATATCACTACTTAAGAAGAAGATGAAAAATGTAGAACAAAAGGAAAAAAGTCCTTTCTATCAACTGAGGGGAAGAATACATTCAAAGAGCACTGTACTATATCATCCAAAAGAGAAGAAATAGAAAATTGCTTGACATATTCAATAGGATTCAAGAAAACACAAGATTTGTAAAACAGAAAGAGACCTATAAGATCAGAATAGGCTGAGATGAGAAGAAAATGGTGTAAGTTTGAAGAGTGAGATAAAAATGTGATAAAATAAGGATTGCAGAGACATTAAAATATAATGTTAGAATTAAATTTTGCTTTGGAGAGATAATAGTTAAAAGCTAAGTCAACTCCCTAATAGAGGGGAGAAATTTGTATTCTCCCACAATCCAAAGAAAATGCACAGAGGCTTCAAAATATGAAATAATAATAGGGAGAGAATGGAGTTCAAACCTAAACATAGTGGGAGTTCCTGAATACAGACATTTCTTGATCAAATGTTTGGGAAGAAATCAAAACACTTCATGTAGAAATGGTAACCTAACATAAACTCTAAGAAATATTTTTGAAAACTAATGAATAAAAGAAAATAAAGATATGTAGAAAGGGAAAGAGAAGGAGATTATATCTTAATAATTCCTGGCTAATTTCTTATAATTTTACAATTTTTTATCAATTATACAGGTGGGGGAAGGAGGTTTCCTATAAATCAGGTGGGCAAAATTCACTGATTTCAGATTTTGTTTCCCTTTTTAATGCCAAATATTTAGTATTACAGTTGTTAACCCTAATACTTCATGCATTATGGCTTGGGCCATATCTACACAGTTTTGAAGGAACAAGTCTCTGAACTAAAAATTTTATGCCTGGTGTATTTGTTTTCCAGTGCTATATTGCCAGGTCCCACAAATTTAGCAACTTAAAACAATACATATTTATTATTTTGCAGTTTCTGTGGGTTAGGAACCTGGTGTGGATCATCTAGGTCCTTTTCTCAGGATCTCACAAGGCTGCAATTGGTGTTGGCTGTGTTGTGGTCTCACCTGGAAGTTTTTCAGAAGAATCTGCTTCCAAGCTCATTCAAGTTGTCTGCAAACTTTTTTTTATAGCTAATATGATTGAGGTCTTGGTTTCTAAAGGCTACCGTCTTCATAGGCAGTTCACAGCATGACAGCTTACTTCTTCAAGGCCAGCAGAAGAAGGATAAAGTCTGCTGAAATGGAGTCTTGTATAATAAAAAGTGATCACAGTAGTCACATCTCATCACCTGAGCTATATAACAAAACCTAATTAAGGAAGTAACATCTCACCACCTTTGCTATATTCTATTAGCTAGAAACAAGTCACAGGTTCTACTTACTCTCAGGGAGAGTATTATATAAAGACTTGGATCATTGAGAAACACCATTCTAGGGGACACTTCACCTGAGTGAGCCACTCACCACTGACCGAAGTAATAAACTTGCAAAAATGTGGAAGAATTTGTGTCTCCTTTTGCAAGAGCATCTGTATGAAACATAAAAACAACAACAAAAGGTGTTTTATTACATTAATAACCCTGTACCTGGATAAAATAGCTTTGAAAAAGAGTCATTCTGGCAAAATTCACTACCAGATGCAGAAGTTCAATTTAATCACAACCATATTTTTAAAAAGAAACCTTCAGCTGGGTGCGGTGGCTCACACCTGTAATCCCAGCACTTTGGAAGGCCGAGGCGGGCGGATCACCTGAGGTCAGGGTTTCGAGACCAGCCTGAGCAACATGACGAAACCCCGTCTCTACTAAAAAAACAAAACAAAACAAAACAAAATTAGCTGGGTGTGGTGGCGGGCATCTGTAATCCCAGCTGCCTGAGAGGTTGAAGCAAGAGAATCGCTTGAACCCAGGAGTCGGAGGTTACAGTGAGCTGAGATTGCGCCACTGCACTCCAGCCTGGATGACAGAGTGGGACTCTGTCTCAAAAAAAAAAAAAAGAAAGAAAGAAACCTTTATATATATAGGCAGTCACTGTTTTTCACAGTAGTATGACACTATAAAAAGAACTGTGCAAGTTAAAATTGTGCAAAGAATCTTAATGAGCAATGGGAAAAATAATGATCGTTCCATGCTTAATATATTTGTGAAAACATTTAAAAAACTCCTACTGTCAATTATAAGTGTATAAAGAAATGAGAAAATAGTAAAACCAACATGAATATAGTGTACTATATTGTAAAGCATTCGATATTCTAAGAAGTGAAAGTTTTATTTCTTTGTAAAATTCTTTTCGAGCATAGCTTGAACAGTGCTTGTCATCTTCGATATAGAATGTCTTTTCTATGCCTTGGTGACTTATCACACTCCTTTCTAACTTTGGATCAGCTTCCAACATTTTCTCTTTTGAGCCTTCAATTTTATGAAATGTCTCTGAAAATTTCTTTAATGTGAACCTTTTTGCCAGTGTCAGTTCCACTGGTGCATCTTTGTCTTTTTGTCACAATCACTTTCCTCATTTATGTCATTAAGTTCACCTTCACTAAATTCCTCTGGTTGTGTACGTAGTCTTCAACGGTGGCAGTGTCAACATTCCCATTGTCAGCTCTTTATTCTATAGCTTGATTTACCTTCTATTTGAATTTCACATTCAGCATTATCACTTTTTGTTTCTTTGCTGCATTTTCATCGTGGTTGGCCAATTTCCTCTTTTGATTCTCCGTTTTGTAAAATGTCACATAGGTTTATCACTTGGAGACAAGGAGACAACACAACTATATTACTTGCTGTCTGTGCATGAACTAACAGTTGCTCAGTGATCAGTCACCAAAAACTTTGAAAGAAGTGACATGATTGGTTATTGATCATGATGCATATCTGTTGTGTATGTAGTGATTTATGGACTAAAGATCTAGCAGTGAAGTTTATACTTTATTCAATTATTCATAGTTAACATGCTATGGTAACTAAAATTTGAACTGTGTTGTTGGGAGACTTAGATTATTTAGCTACACCATTGCAACTGAAATTCTTGTATATTACTGTCTATATCTACAAAATGATTGAGCTTTGAATGGTAAAACTGATTTCAAAAAATTCCATGTTTTGGTATTTTTCATATTAACTTTAATAAATTTACATTACTTTTTAAACAAATAAATTCTGTTAAAAATTGGTATTTAAAATGCAGAAAATGCATCAGTTCTTGATGGGAGTGAAGGTAACAGAATCGTAAGTGAATTTTAAAATATATTTTAATATTTTAATGTTAACATTGTACATACATGTATATATATCCTTAATTGAAACCATTTGTAAAGGAAGATTACTTTTGTAAACTTTTTCTACAATTAACTATGTTATATATGTAGTCAGTAAACCTTATTGAACACCAGGTTCATTGAAGATGAAAGACGCCCAGTAACTGCTAAGAGGTTTTTTCAATTTGTGTTTTTTTTTTGTTTTTGAGGTAGAGTCTTGTTCTGTGACTCAGGCTGGAGTGCAGTGGCACAGCCCTCTTACCTCAGCCTCCCAAATATCTGGGATCACAGACATATGCCACCATGTCTGACTATTTTTTTTTTTTTGGTAGAGATGGGGGTTTCCCCATATTGCCCAGGCTGGTCTCAAACTCCTGGGCTCAAGCGATCCTCCTGCCTCAGCCGTCCAAGTTGCTGGGATTATAAGCATGAGCCATCAGCCTGGCCCTAAGAGTTCTTTTTTCATTCTTATACTATTATCCCTATTTCAGTGTTGAGGTTTCTGTGAAGGGAAATAATTTGAGATAAAACGTGTGAAATTCTGTGTGTAAGACATAAGAAATATTTCATCCGTATCTTTGTGTATCTATAGTAAGTTATTCAGGAGTAATCAAAAAGCTAGTGGTGGTATCTTGTTCTATAATGTTTCTTTATGAATGTGCCAAAAGAAATGCATATGTAAACTCATTTGCCATATTGGGAATATGTGAAATTTGTTCTGATTTTTCTTCTGATTTGTAAATACGGATTTCTACTGAGCCACTTATGTGAACACATTTAAAAATTTTACTCTAATTTCAACTCTATTCATTTTCACTTTAGTATTTAAAGGGCTGGTATGTTGAAAAAGCTGTAGGGAAAGCATTATAATTTTATTGCCCTCAGAAGCATCTCAACAGTATTTTCTTATTTTCTAATCACCACATTCCACATAACATTTCTTCATTAATTTATTTTTCAAAAAAATTTTTTGAGTATGTATTTTGTGTCAAATGCCACACTAAGCACAGGTTACGCAGCAGTGACATGATGATCTAGCTTCCTCATGAAGCTTAGGGAAAAACAACTATAGAAGAATATAGTTATAGCTAAATTCATAGGACCTAGCTCTACTTTGAATACATTTTCATAGCTTAAAATAACTACAGGAAGTTTTCTTTTTTTTCTGTGCATCTCCATCCCATCCAATTTTGACTGGCATTTCGCTATAATCGCAATTCCTTTTTTCTTCTTCCCAAAAGAAAACATATATACTGACAGCACCTTGGTAGTAACAACATCATGAAACTTGCATCCTTAGAGGTTTTAGTCTAACATAATGATAACAATGGCTACCATATGGTCTTAATGTGAACAAATAATGCTGCCTTCATGGGTAAAGACATGTAGATAAAAGTTAAGAGAGTGGGAGAGGGATTAAGTGGGGTATGGTGGTAGGTGAGGAGGTGGAGAGTAAAAAAGAAATGACAAATGGAATAAAAATGAAAAATAATTTAGGTTCATTATGGAAAACTTTTAAGTATACTTTTTAAGGACTCTATAAAATTTAATTATATGAAAAACCCCAATAGCAGAGAGTTTAAAAGTGTCTAGAGATGAGACTATATATAGTATATACCCGCACATTTTGTTTCTCTTCATTTCACATGACGAAAATGGAAGAGAGACACTGGCCCCTTAGGAACTGAGTGTTTGATATCCTGGATTTGATCTGGAAGATATTGAGACTGGAGGGGAAGAGATTTGGGAAGCAGCTCCTATATTACGCCCAGCTGCCTTGATGGAAGAGCAACACAGGGCATCCTTGCTCATCCCTCATGTGGGAAGAATAACTAGTAATGTCACCCTTCATATATTCCAACTACATATATATGTATATATATACTATATACACACACACATATATGTATATATGTGTGTATATATGGGATTTTTAATACACACACACACACATATATATATAGTCCTCCCTAAGGGAATGAATAAATGAATAAATGAGGCTCAGTAAGAGTTCAGATAAATTTTGATTAATAGATTAAGAAATGACATTCAAGAGAAGGTTAAGAATGTTGAAGGTACAGTCCTACTCTTTTGAGGGAAATGTGATGAACTGTCAGGAAGCCTGACTCTAAATTAGTGGCACTAAGTGACAGAATACAGGGCTTGATACACAGTACATTTTTTATGTTCCTATAACCAAAGGATTACTTTCTGCTTCCTCTTCCAGGTTTTGTTAGTTGTATAGGATAGTAGCATTGATCAAGTTTTTGATATCTGTAGATGGGAAATATCTCATTCATGGATATAAATTATTATATTTCCATAGTGTTCTTGAAGCGATCTAATACAGTTTATCTAATTTTCCTCTCACCTGTTTATTTCGAATCAGAATTCTTGCTTACTAATTCTCTCTTCCTATATATAATACCAGACCCTGTCACCAACCTGACAGTGTCTGTTAGACATTACCATGGCACTAGGGTCAAAGTTAAGTTACTTTTGTGTTACTTTGTCAGTGGTTTTACTCAGGGAATGTTTTATAATAACTTAAATCTGGTGAGAAGTATTTACCAGCATATATTTTGCATGTGATTGACTCTTTGAAGCATTATTCTTGGAAAATATTTCTTTTTAAAAGCTGTGAATTATTTATAATCTTAATGTGCATCATAACTGCATTTAGAATTTTTTTAATTAACAATATATTTATGTTTTAAAATTCAAAAGGTACAAAAAAGCAGAAAGTGTTTTTATACCCTTGTCCCATAGACAGTTCCCTTCCCTAGAGACAACCAATATTATCAGTTTCTTGTATATCCTTCTAGAGATATTTTGTGCATATTCAAGTGATATGTATATTTTACACATAATGGTACTTGCTTTTTGCATCAAGAAATATATTTTGGAGGCCGGGCTTGGTGGCTCTCGCCTGTAATCCCAGTACTTTAGGAGGCCAAGGCAGGCGGATCATGAGGTCAGGAGATTGAAACCATCCTGGCTAACAAAGTGAAACCCCGTCTCTACTAAAAATACAAAAAATTAGCCAGGCGTGGTGGCAGGTGCCTGTAGTCCCAGCTACTCGGGAGGCTGAGGCAGGAGAATGGCATGAACCCGGGAGGCAGAGGTTGCAGTGAGCCTAGATCGCACCACTGCACTCCAGCCTGGGCGACAGAGCAAGATTCCGTCTCAAAAAAAAAAAAAATGTATATATATATATATATGCTCTTATATATCAATGCTTAGCAAGACATAAAGAGTCTCCTTGTTTCTTTCTTTTCTTTTTTTTTAAAATGTTTTTAAGACCTACAGCACCCACTACCACCAGGTGGTCTCCCGTACCAAGTAGTTACCAGGCCTGACCCTGCTTAGCTTCCGAGATCAGATAAGATTGAGTGCATTCAGAGTGGTATGGCCATAGATTCCTCATTTATTTCTGTGACTGAATAGTATTCATTCCACTAATGGCTGTCATTTAACCAGTCTCCTATTGATTGTCATCTGGGATGTTTCTAATGTATTGTTGTTAAAAATGCCTTAATTAATATGTCTGAACATATGTCATTTCACATAGATGGAATATGTATAACTGAGGATAAGTTTTTAGAAGTAGAATTCCTAGGTCAAAGAATACGTTCCGTTTTAATTTTGATAGATACTACCCAAATACTGTCTATAGATTCATTGCCACTTTATACTTCCATAAGCTAGCATCTACTTTCTACAGCCTCACCAACACAATATTATTACACAGTCTGACCCTTCCCAATCTGATAGGTTTTTCAAAATGTCTTTAATTTGCTGTCTTTATAAATTAGGTTGAATAATGTTCATATGTAAAAGAGATATTTTCTACCAACTGTAGTACGTTGCCCCTTTTTTCTATTTAATTGTTGGTCTTTTTCATATTGACCTATAGGAGTGTTTCACATATTAGGGAAATTATGAGTTGAAAATATCATTCCTACTTTGCCATTTACTTTTAACTTTGTTATGGTTTGTACTATGAAGATTTTTTTTAACATAGTTAAATTATTGGTATTTTCTTTTATGGACTCTGGGTTTTGTCTCATTGTTAGGTGGACCGCACCTCCTTCACAATTATTCCACGTGTGTTCTCTAGAATTTTTATGGTTTTATTTTTTACATTTATTTATTATATCTAATGGCATTGATGCTAACATACGGAGCAAAGTAACAAGAGACTTTATAGATTCACATAACAATTCAATCAGAAGACATAACGGAAGAAAAGATCATCATCATCAACAACAACAAACCAAAGTAAAATATGTAGGAATAATCTGTCCATCTGATGCTTTGAATGTAATCTCCTTCTGCCTAGTAAAGGACTTTGTGTTTTTCCCCTCAGATTTCGGCAGCACCCCTCTAACTGGGGAATAATTAACAGATAAATATGCCCCCAGATCTTCTCTTTTAAAAAAATAAAACTTTGGCTGGGCGCAGTGGCTCACACCTGTAATCCCAGTACTTTAGGAGGCCGAGGCGGGCGGATCACAAGGTCAGGAGTTCAAGACCATCCTGGCCAACATGGTGAAACCCCGTCTCTACCAAAAATGCAAAAATTAGCCAGGCGTGGTGGTGGGTGCCTGTAATCCCAGCTACTCGTGAGGCTGAGTCAGGAAAATCATTTCAACCTGGGAGGCGGAGGTTGCAGTGAGCCGAGATCGTGCCACTGCACTCAAACTTAAGCAACAGAGCAAGATTCTGTCTCAGAAAAAGATAATAATAATAATACAATTTCTTCTAATCCACATACCCTTCCAGTTAAGCAATTATATTGCTCACTGTCATCATAATCTAGTTAACTAAAAGGATGATCTGCTCTCTACTACTATTACTGCCCTCTTCCTCCTCATAAATCTACAATATGACTTCTGACCCAACCCTCCCTTAAGGTGATTTTAGCTTAGTTGAATAACCTCCATATTGACCAAGACATAGAACATTGTCTCATGATTATCTTCAACTCTTTGCTTAGACTCATGGTTTTCTTCTTAAAACATTCTTTTGGCTTGGATATTATAATACCATTCTCCCAGTTTCCAACTCGACTTCTCTAGCTGGGCTGTCTCAACTTCCTTCCCAGACTCAGCCTCCTCACTGTGCCTTCAAATTACAGTGTTTCTCTGGTGTCAGCTTTCCCCTTTAGAGCACTTTCTGCTACTGCTATTAATTAATTAGTAGCATAATGAGTGGTTTACTGTGGGTCTCTTTTGTTAGAATATAAAGAGAGACTGTACGGGTCCCTTGCTGAGGTCTGCAGCTTCATCTCCACCTAATTCCCCTTTTACCAGGCCAAGTTCGGGAACTTTGTGTGAGCTTGTTCTCCCTTAGTTTGGATCTCCTTTGATCCTATCAGTTCATGGTCCTTTTTATTCCTCAGGTTTTAGCTTAAATGCCACCTCTTGAGGAGAACTTCCCTGACTTTATGATCTAAGATGATCCTCTTTGTTTAACACCTTCTTTATTTCTTTCCTAGAATATATCAATGTTTGTAATTATTTTATTTCTTCTCCAGTTTATTGAATTATTTCTCTTACATTAGAATATACCCTTTGCAAGGACAGGAACCTTTTATGTCTTGTTCTTGTAGAATTCCTAGCATCTCATATGTATCTTGAACACAACAGGTGAGTTGTTTTATGTTTTTTGTTGTCGTTTTTGTTTTTTTTTGAGATGGAGCCTAGCTCTTTTGCCCAGGCTGGAGTGCAGTGGCGCAGTCTTGGCTCACTGCAACCTCCACCTCCAGGGTTCAAGCGATTCTCCTGCCTCAGCCTCTGGTGTAGCTGGGACTACAGGCGTGTGCCACCACACCTGGCTAATTTTTGTATTTTTAGTAGAGAATGTGTTTCACCACGTTGGCCAAGCTGGTCTCGAACTCCTGACCTCAGGTGTTCTGGCTGCCTCTGCCTCCCAAAGTGCTGGGATTACAGATGTGAGCCACCATGCCTGGCCTACAATAGGTGATTAATAAATATTTTTCAATGGAAGGGACAGAAGAAGGCAAGGGACGGAGGTTGGTTTTACTGATTTACCATTATCACCTTAATTCTTAGCACAGTGAATTTCAGGGGTATTCATACTGTTATGGGGATTCAATTAAATATTTCCTGAAGATATTAACTCCTTAGAATTCTATTCCCAGTTCTCTGCTCTTATTCTGCAGGCCTCATATAGATTAATAGGTAACTCCACCTACACTATGACTTTAACTATCATTGATATGCTAATGACTCCCCAAATCTAAATCTAGAGCCATTACTCTTTGGTTCAAGAACCACATATGGGCTGGTATAGTGGTTCATTCCCATAATCCCAGTGGTTTGGCAGCTCGAGGCTGGAAGATTGCTTGATTCTAGGAGTTCAAGACTAGCCTGGGCAACATAGTGAGGCCCTCCCATCTCTAAAAATAAAAATAAACATAAAAAATTAGCCAGGCATGGCAGTGCACACCTGTAGTCCTGCCTACTTGGGAGGCTGATGCAGGAGGATCTCCTGAGCCCAAAAGTGCAGCTGCAAGTGAGCTATGATTGTGCCACTGCACTCCAGCATTAGCAACAGAGCGTGCGACTCTCTTTAAAAATAAAAATTAAATTTAAAAGAACCCCATATATAACAGCCTCGTGGACATTCTACTTGGATATTCTACAGGACCCTTAAATTTAAATTTAGCATACCAAGCATGCTGAGAACCAATCCACTTCCTGTATTCTTTACCATCATAAATGAGACTGTCGTCTTTTCAGATGCCTTTGAATCTCCTAGATTTCTCCTTTTCTTAAACAGTTTCTACATATAATAAAGCACATCCTATATATTACTGTTAAACATCTCTCAAATGCTCCCTTCCTCTCTATCCCATTCAAGTAATCTAAAAAGTCCACACCAATCTCCTAACCAGCATTGTTGCCACGAATATTTCTAAAATTCAAATCTGATCATATCAATGTTCTTAAATTTCTTAGGATCTCCATGTTTCCCTACTCTCTAATCCAGAAATGCTTGGCTGGGCGAGGCGGCTCACGCGTGTAATCCCAACACTTTGGGAGGCGGAGGCGGGTGGATCACCTGAGGTCAGGAGTTTTAGCCAGGTCTGGCCAATGTGGTGAAACCCCGTCTCTACAAAAATACAAAAATTAGCCAGGCATGATGGCGGGTGCCTGTAATCCCAGCTATTCCGGAGGCTAAGGCTGGAAAATTGCTTGAACCTGGGAGGTGGAGGTTGCAGTGAGCTGAGATCGTGCCCTTGCACTCCAGCCTGGGCAACAGAGCCAGACCCTTCTCAAAAAGGGAAAAGTAAAAACAAGAAATGCTTATTGAAAAAATGTTTAACTTCTAATTCTGATAGCCATGGCCCTTTCCTGATCTGGCTCCTACCTACCTGTGCTATATGTATTCCATACCCCTAGTCATAAAGAATAACTTGCCATTGCACAAAACCATCCTGCTTTCACCTAGAAAAGGCCTGCTTTTCACACTTTTGCCTAGGGAAGACGTTTAACATTCTTAATTCCTACTCATTCATTGAAACTCAACTTAAGCATTACTTCCTCTCAAAATCCTTTTCTGATTCTGCCATTTCTTCCTGTGCATTCTCTATTCTTCCTGTGCATTCTCCTATCATGACCCATGCCACACTGCAGTCTAATCATGCATTTACTCACCTTCCCCTCTACCACCAGAAGTTAGCAAACTTTTGCTGGATGGATGAATGACTATGGAGGGTTTATTCTTCAAGAATTTATAAAACAAGTTGAAAGTATGGTTATAACATAGAGCCAGTGTTGGAGGAATACAAACCCTAGATATAAAATTAAAATAAAATAAAACAAAACAAAATTACTAGTACAGACTAAATCAGAAACAGAGAATGGAGACTAAGACACAAAGAATCTTATGAGCAAGAGTTGGAATCCTAACACTTGAAACCTAATAATTAGTACTAGTAGAGACTATGGTGATTTATCCCTTATTGAACTGAACTTAGGCTACCTTTGAAGCTGGGCTGGGATTTAACAAGGACATACTTCCTCAGACAAGGTTTGCCTGCTATACAACAGACAAAACCAAAATATTTAGCTTGACCTATATTTTGTACCAGAATATTCCTTTTATATAAATGGTAGAATGCATAAATGTGCTCATAGAACACTATGAACAGGTATTATGTATCACTTTGTTCTATTTACTTATTTTTGATGTAAATCCCTCAGGAGTCTATGTAGGTGAAGATCCTCAATCTTTTTAATGTTTTTAGATATTAAGTTTGAGTAGAGACTGCAGATAGGATAATATGTCTTAGTATTCTACTTGTATAAACTGAGGCAATTTATTACATAGAATTAAGTCTCTTGAAGGGGAAGTTCATCTGGGTAAAGAGGCAAGAAAGGAAAAGAGATAATTTGAGTGGTTACTGTGTGTTATGTATTTACATGCTTTCTCACATTTAATCCTGAGGATAACTGAGTGACATGGATATACTTACCCTTATTTCACTGGTAAAGGAATAGAGGCTCAGAGAAATTAAACAGCTTGAACAAAGTGACAAAGCAAGCAAGACTCGATATTCAACTTGAATTTTTCTAGTTTCAAAGTCTAACACTGCAACCAAGCTTTTTGTTGCTGTCTGCATCTTCATTAATACCTTTTAAAATCATCATTCATAAAGAATAACATTATCTGTTTGATCCTCTGGTGTGGTATAATTGTTTGAAAAAAGAAATGGCCACTTTGTGAAAAGAAACTGTAAATACTAGTTATATTATCTTCACTAATCACAAAATAGCTGTCTTTGTAAAACCAAAACGGGCATATTTTCAATCCGTAAGTCCAGTGTTATCACTCAGATCTCATCTATAAAGAGCAATTATTTTTAATACATCATATGAGGAGAATGTTTAACTGTGTTTTCATAGTACTGTGACAGTTTATATTGGATTTGAAATATGTGTTCTGAATCTAGAAACTTAAATCTGCATTAGGTACAATATAAAAGAGAATAAAGAAATAGTAATTTATAACATATATGTTTCATTGTGAATTGGATATGGTGCTATTTCATAAAATGTTGCTAGGTTTTTTTAATTTATGAAATGTATTAGGCCATTATGGTTTAAAATTTGCAGTAGTGGAATTTGTATATCCAATTTTTTAAAAGAAACTGTATCCTCCTTTGGGTCAAATTATTCTTTTCCGATTTCTGTTCAGTTAGCTGTAATGTTTGAAAGTATGAATAAACTGGCTGTGAAAGTATTGTCCAAAAGTACCAAATATGAGTTATATTATTATCTCATTAGTCTTCCCCTGAAGGACCTCTTCTAAATAACTTACCATGGCTAGAAAAATGATATCACCAAATCAGAATGTTTTTCATTCAGTCATAGTATTATATTCAGTGTAGCAGGAAATAGTTTTGCATGACAGTACACATGTAAATGTCATTGCATATGTCATTTATGGTGTATAGGGTTGTTATGCAAGATTCACAGTGATCATGTTGGAGAAAACTGTCTCTGATACACTAAATAAAACGTGCTTAGTAAAAATTGCTAGCAATTTTTTCTAGACATATAATGACATGGTAAGAGCACAAAACAAAACTACCAGAAACAAACCATTTCTCAAGCTGTAATATCTAGAGGACAAGTGATTTAAATTGCTGAAACAAGGGGAGTTCATCGCTACACTACAAAAGAACTTGATATATAACCTAACGGCAAGTGAAATACTGATTCCAAGCTTAGAAATAACAGCAACAAATTTACCTACAGACAGAAGATGCATGGAAGCAATAAACGAATTATACAAGTCTTACACATGCAATCTGATTATTCTGACCAAAGTGTTAATTGGATCCTAACTGCCAGATCTGATATCTGTGGTCTTGTAGTGGGAAACCTTTCAAAGTGATGAACTGTAATTCACTGAGCTGCTTGAAGCACTTGTAATTTACTGCATGTCATGCTATGAAGAGCCTGACCTAATGGACTTTACATTACCTATAATGCTAGAAACCTTTCAGCAAGACTAGTTGGTAAAAAGTAATCGTAGAAGTCTTTTCAGACAGGATGAGCAAAATTATCTTAAATACAGCTTTATAATCTTATGGAAAGTCAGTTATTAAACAAAATATTGCAACTGTGGGAAAATAGTCTAGCCAACATAATTTACAACAGTATGATATCTCATAATTTGAAATTAAATAGAGGTAGAAGATATAAAAAGGACTCTGCATAGTTTTATAATCTAACCTAAATGCCATAGAATATGTTGGGTTTAAGCTATTCATGGATGAAATTCCTTTGCTTTCATAAAAAAATTGTATTTCATAATAATCAGATTTGGTATCTACTATGTACTTTCATATGTATTAAAAGTTATGGGAAATGTTATAGGTATGACAGACCTAGGGGTATACTACATTAAACAAATAGCTACATTATTTTGAGGATAAATTCTGGGCAAAACTCTCTCTCCTACCATTTGAAATTATGAGTTTAAAATGTGAAATTTTGCTTTGACAGCCCATAAGTGTTTATTAACTACAGCTAAACTATTGTCTCTTTTATATATTATGCTGAAATTTGGGGTGTTAATTTTTGCACATGAAGCCCTTATACTATAACTAATGGGTTACAACTGTTCTCGATGATGCAGTAATAGAATTTGCTTTGGTTACACATTTTGGAGGAGCTAGTTTGTTTTTAATTTATGTTAGAAATATGATTATCAGCATCTTTTTGATATCTATAAAGAATCTTTATGGGATAGGTAACTTAAGAATATTTTTCTAATTCTGAGGGTAGACAGATATGATTTATGTACAATATAAGGCAAAAGGTATAGTTTGGGATATTATGGTTCTTTCACCAAGATGCATACATTACTATTGTTAATTGTAGTAGCAACGGAATCTTAAGCAACTCACAGCCTGGCAGACATGAACTAATCTTGGATCTGTACAAATTAGGACATTCACGAAAAAGTAATTGCTAAGTCGTTGGTACAATACTCTCAGTAAATCTACCTCAGTTTTCCCTTTTTTTCCTGCCTTCTTCCATTGAAGTTAGGCTGTGTCAGTTAGACAGGCTCATCAGCAACTCCAAGTGCAGTGAGAGCATCCTAATGATCTGAAATTCTTCTTCGAAGTTGATGTTTTCTCATCAGGATCCAATTTAGAGGGCTTTGTTCCATTCTTGAACTTTGGAACCAGAGAAAAGCAAGGCAGTTTATAGCCTTCTCCATGGTGAGCTAGAAAGACAAATCAGTGTACCCAGCGGCAGGAGGGTTTTGAAGAGTTTCAGTCTTTATCAATAAACACTTAAAAATAATCAGTAACTACTTCTCCCTATAGCAAAATATGTCCCCTTGGCAAGACCTAAACATAATGTACATTTCATTGAAAAATATTTAAATATTTAAATTATCTTGAAATATAATTAAATACTTCAAACAGGCTAAATATTTTATTGCTTTGCAATGGCATGACTGACTGAAGAATCACAACCAAAGGGTATAGTAAATGCTGGGGGTAGACTCTGTTTCATACATTTGTGTTTCAGTAGATCTGCTGTTAGTAATTTTACTATTTCAGTAGTAGAGTTCAGTGTAAAGCGCAAAAAGCTGAGAGACTGTAATATCTGAGGTTCTACTGTTCATTTTATGTGCAGATGTTTATGGTGAGACTGTTTCATAAATGCTTATTACCGTTAGCCCTTCTAAGTGTAATTTTCAGGAGAAAAAAAATTCTGCAATTCAACCACCATTCCTCTCTATTCACCACACTTGTCAATCAGTGAGTTGCTGTATCTACAGGAATGGAGGTGTTATATTCTGGCAATTATCATGTCATATACTTGAAAATGTAAATGAATGTGTGTGTAAAATTAAATTTATGGGTTGTCAGCGAAGAATAAGAACCAGGAGAGCAATTACTTCTCTGCTTTCATCTTTTGAGCTCTGATACATCAAGCAGAAAACCATGCAGCTAAATGTTGGAATTAGCATTGTGCAGGTCCTGGAATGAATGGGCTAGTGTCTTTTGCTGCCTTTTCTGACTCTTTGTTTTGGAGAGCAGTGAAATTAAGATGATTATCATCCATCAATCTATGAGAGTGCCTATGAAAGCATGAAAGGATCTTCCTTCTCATATTTATTTTTGCTTTCTTAGAGAGTTGTCTTTTATCAGGACAGCTTGCTTTTTGTTGAAATTAATATTATTTGGGCTAATTTTGTGAGTTCCATCAAAATCACAATTGTTTTGTTTTTTGTATCTGGTGTATTAAAATTCATTTTAAAATTTAAAAGGAAATATTTATGAATGTAGACAAATAAAAGATTATTTTTAGCACAGTTACAGAAAAGTAGTCTCCCAGTAATTCTGAGAAAGATCTTAATTCTAGGGAATGGATCTAGCTCACTAGCCATATAAACATTTTTAGTTACTAAATGTAAATAAATGATGGTGTTTTCATAAATGACTATACCTCTTTTTATGGTGCACCTGTCTCCCAAATGAGCACTCAAGTATTCTAATTCTATGTAATTATTGATTATATTCTAGATTTTACAACTTAAAATAAAACCAGGCACTTCAGTTGCAAAGTATTATTGATTTTGTTTGTATTCTGCTTTTATCTGTTAAGCATTAATGTTCTATAGGTTAAGTTTTGGAAAGAATAAAAAATAAGTGTAAGATATGCAGTAACTTCTTTCCAATGATTTTAGGAGCCTAATGAACAATGGTGCAGATTTGTTTGAATATGAATGTGCAGTGGGATGGAGTTTGACCTTCAGCTGTGATTTCAGTTCGTCAGGATTAGTCAAGCTAGGCGATCAAGACTGCTAATGCATAATGATTTATAAAATGAAAAATGTGTAGTGACCATGCAAATGTTTCAGCTAATCAAAGAGGGGAACTTTAGCTTTGAGAAGAAAGAAAAACAAGGGCATGTCAAGGCCTAAACCAAAGATGTATGTAAAATAATCTGAGCAGCTTGATTAGACAGAGTGAGATTAGAAGTTGCATTTTTGGCCTTTAAGCATATGGTGTAGCATATTATATATCACTTCTCCATAATCTCTACAATGACACGCCTATATGAGCAGTCTGGTTTTCACCAGCAGTACAAAGAAAAGAATATAATCTCTTGAAATATTTGTCTGTAACTAAGAGAAGGACAAAGTTGGACAAACACTACTTCCCAAAACAGGAAACACTTTGCTTTATCAAGGTAACTAAATGAATACTAAAACTTGTGTCTTAAAGTAATAGTAGAAATTAAGTGATGAATCATGATTAAAGGGAATCTCTGTGTCTGTTATTGCACTGTGCTATATTATTTCTGTTGTTCCTGTCACACTATTTCCCTGCTGCTAAAAGATTGCGTTAAATAGCAATATGCACTGTCCATCCCAGATCTCTTTAAATACTCCTGTTCAGTACTTGATGAAAAGCTTACAAATACCACTCAATTCATTGTCAGTTCTTTTTAATACCATAAAACCAGGAAGCTTTTGAAAGGCTATTATTATGATAGACATTACACATGTAACCAAGGCTTGAATTTTTACCAAAGCTGGCATTCCAATGCAATAAATAGTTTCTTATGTTAAAATAAACTGTAAATAAAGATATTTCAGAGGATAGAAGCAAACAGAAGAAATGTATCAAGAATGTACAATAAAATATTTTCTATTAACAGTCAAAATCAGAGCAGATACTGTAACATAAGAACAAATTTTGCTTTTATTACACAAGTAGTTAATTGTCATAGTTACATTTTTCAAGTACCAAGAAGGCAAAAGAGTCAGGACTTCCTTTGTCTTCAAATTTTAAACAAAGAATAAAAAGATCTGTGAACCACTAGTTGGCAGACCGTGTTAACAAGAAAATAATGTTTTATACTGTAAATGTCATCTATAGATTGTGACTGCTATTTCCAATTCACATTTAGTGAAGAAAGAATTGGACTGACACTATACTAAGAACCTTTCCAATCTCCCACACATAATTGGGATGTTTAATTAAGGGACGCACTTAATATGCAAGCCCAGCACATTCAGAAATGCTCCAACTGAACTGGACTGTGAAAAGACTGTGCTTATGTAAAACAAAAATTTTGGTTTGTTTTCATAACTCTTACAATAACTCTTTAGATGCATTTGAACAGAGATATGATCTTTGCATTGTCTCGTAATAACTTTTTTGACCTCCTCAATGACATATACTTTAAATTTTAATATAAACACATTTATAATATATATGTTTTTATGATTTACATATGATTTTAGGATGACAATGATGTGATGGTTATATTTATGTCATAACTAAATATAATTATATTTAATATCACTTATTAATAATAGGTGATATTAATTGTAATACACTTACCTATTCTAGGATAATACCTAAATTTTTTTTTTTACTTTTACCACTGACTCTTTGCAAGACAGTTTCAGAATTTTCCCTCTCTCATTTTAGAATGCATAAACCTATCTTTATATTCAGTTAAGTAATACTTCTTGGTGCACAGAGCAGCATGTCGGGTTTGTGCTTAATTCATGTAATGAGATAATAAATAAGGGTAAATGGAGACCCTTGTTTGGTGCATCACTAAGGAGAATTTTAAATCTGTCAGCAAAGTAAATACCAAGAGAGAAAAAAATCTCCCAACCAAAGATGACTCTATTTCCTTCCTTCACACTTGAAAATTTTAACTGATAAATACCCATTCAAAACGAGCTATTTCTTCTGATTTCATTTGGTGGTAGAGCCACCAGACTTTTATTTGCCTTCTCACCAGAAGTAAGTTCTCCCTCCTCTTCTATGTCACACGTCTAAATTGTGATCCCTTATTAGAATATTTGCATGAATCAAATTACATATCTAGCGAAAAATAGTTCCGTTAGTCTAACACCGAACTTGCTAAGGTATATGTATTTCAAAAAAATTGTCCATAAATTTTTAAAAGGCTGATACTGATTTCGTCTATTTAAATATTGGTAAGTAGTATAATCTCTACATTTTTATATGTATACAATTAATCTTTATTCATTTTTATCAATGAATACCTAGAGTAGCTTGTGGTAGCAAGTAAATGAAATGGGACAGTAACAAGAAACGATGAGGGAGGAGAAGAGGAAATGTGTCGCTTAAAATGAGTCACTTAAAAATGAAGGCTATGCATTTCTCAAATTGCAAGTGGACGGGTCTGCAATATTACTGACCTTTGTTGTAGAAAAAACTAGTTTTTTGTTTATTAAATAACTTAGATTTTTAGTAATCTCCTTAGTTTGGGTGAGCTTATATATGTGGATTTAGAGATGATAGTATTACTTTATTTGTAGTGTTAGAAAACCCTCAGAAGTGTACCTGTGTTTTTCTACCTATATAATTAATTTTAATTTATGTCTTTTGTACACATAGAAGTAGAGTGTTCAATCATGTATGTGTTAATTGGCTCATCTTTCTATTTATTTTTATATCTGTATATTGTCAGTTTTAGATGACAGTTTCCTAGAAGGTAGGCCAGAATCTGATTAAAATTTTAAAAAATCACATACATGTGACCATTTAAAACATATGATCTTAAGAAGAGAATGATTTCATGGTTATATTTATGTCATAACTATTAATTGAAAGGCACTCAAACCATTTTAGGAGTAAAAATAATCATCTAACTTGTGTAGTGTAAGGACTAGTATACCCTAAAGAATATGAAGATAGAAAACTTGCTTAAATTTGCTCATTTATCAAATCGATCACAATAGCAACAAACTCTACAGTCATATTATATGTATAAGCTGAAATCTGACTGTAAACTCGTAGTGGTTTACGGCATACCTCCATTCATAGAACTTTCCCCATAAAGTTCACTTATCATTATACATAAAGTATTTGTACTTGTAGGTATAGGAATAATTAAGGGATAATTAAAACGCTATATACTGAAAAAATAAGGAGCGGTTATGTAAGAAAAGTGCGACAAGCTTCTTATCTATGATTAACTTTATAGAAGGCATATCTCTCTCTCTCTCTCTCTCTGTCTCTCTCTCTATATATATCCATGTACATGTCTATAAACTCTATATCATCTATCTATCTATCTAGATTGACAGCCTTTTTAGTTTAATATGTCTATCTTTCTCTGTCCATTTCAGTTTGATTCCTATTTGGAAATAGTATGAGGTAAATGATTGTTCGAAGAAAAGACATTTTTGTAGATTGATACATTTTTTTTCTCACTACTTGTTCTAACCATTCTATTTGTTTATCAGAGAACAAGGAGTTAAGTAAATTGACAGTCAATTTTATAAAACAACTAAACACTTGAAAAACCCATTGGTGAATTAATTTTACAATATACATTTCAGAATGCTTTTTATTATAATAAATTCAAATTCAGTAATTTATAGGTATGCCAGTATATTCCTTAAAAATACAGAAATATTTTTTAAAATCACTGAATTTCTGTCATAATGTTTCAAGTTACTCAATTTGATCTAATTAATCTGAATATGTTAACATGGAGAAAAGAAAAGACATTGCTATTTTTCAGTATTAAATATGAAAGGTTTTGATTTATTTAGTTCTTTATTTCTTTTTGGAGGAAGAATTAATCCACCCTGGATTTCTTTTTTTTTTTTCTTCTGCTTCTTCTAACCTCTTTTCATTATTAATTTCTCCTTTCTCCATAACATAAAGTGCCACACTGGAAAAGTTTGAACTGCATTAAAAATAACAATTAAAATAAGTTGTGAACCGTATCTTTTAATCTTTTTTGGTTTTGAAAGACATGTTGCCCAATAAATTTGTTCTAAAACAGTATTTATATAAATACTTGCTTTTATTTACAGTAAAAGTGAATTGTTTTTTCTAGGAAAGTGATTACTATTTCAAAGGTTGCAAACTTGGAAAGTTGACAAGTTGTTTGATTGCATACTGGTTAGTACAAGTAATGCCTCAAACAGTGTTACTTGCCTTCTATCTGAGCATATACTTTAGGTTTCTATACCAGTTTTTCTGATCACCACTCTTACCATCCTCTTCCTATTTCTTCACATCCGTTCTGTCTTTCTCTAGGGCTTTCCCACTAGCTTGTCCTTTTTCTACGTTTTCCTTACTTCCTTCCTTCTTTCTCCTTTATATCTTTTTCTCCTTCCCTATCTTCTTTTTGCCTCTCATCCTCAGAACCCTGAAGAAAAAGGAAGTAGTGGGAAAAAAGTTTTAAGTAAATTACTTTTATTATTTTCAGTTTAATGAATAACCTTTGAGTAATTGCTAAATTTTTGTACTTCCTATTATAAGCTCAGTTGCTTGAAATAAGAAAAGGTTTAAAGAAGAAGCTAGAATACTAGTTATATGAGTTCTTCTTTCAGAAGACCTATGTATGTCATTATTTTTCTGGATATACACACAGACACACACACACATATATATATATATCTCCTATATGAATTATCACATGTTGTCATATGCTAAAT